>NC_000011.10:36272121-36423636 GCF_000001405.40 Homo sapiens
GTACTACTGGGAAACCAGACAAGCAGTGAATGAGCCAACTTCCTTTGAGATCAACAGATAAGAGCCAGGAGGCCCTTCTGAGATAGGGCCAGGCCAACCAGAAATACGGTATCTACAAACAATCCATCATCACTAACAGAGGAAAACAAATGCCTTAAATGATCACGAGGTGAAGGGTAGCAAAGATTTATTGACTTTTCCAGTTATTTATCAAATGCCCTCTGCGTCATGTACCCAGATGGCTCTATTCGGACAGATCTGGCTAGAGGAAATGTCCAACTGCCCAGACACCTATACTGGGCTTCTTGCTTCAAGTAAGTTTCTTATGGATGCCCATGGGAGGCCAAGAGGAAGGTATCTGACATCTCTCTCTGCAGGTCATGGGGAATGGAAGGAAAGGAGAGGGGTAAATTTGTGACAAATCTGAGCTCAACTGGAGGGTATGACCAGGGGCTCTCAACTTGGAAGTAGCGGGCTGGCTTCTGGGGTCCTTGACCTCTTGTCGTTGCATGCAAAAAATTGAATGTTCATTTCCTATAGCAGATAAAGAAGAGCTTGGAATTTTTTTTCCCTTGACCTTCCTCGTATCTCACTGGGTAGGCAGACGTAAGATCTCTCATCTCTACTTCAGTTTCAACATTTTCCAAATGGCGCTAGTCACAGAATTATATGTTCCTTGCAAAGTCCTGTGTTGTAAAGAGAAAGCTAGAGAAATATGGGTCCACCTCTTAATGAGACCATTTACCAGCAGATGACTCAATCTCAATGAGCTGGTTTCCTGGTCAATAAAGGGAGGATGATAATACTAATTCTCACACCAACTCTGTTATAGTAGATGAGACAATAAATGCACCAAGCTTTCTACTCTCATCCATTAATAATCAAAGCCTTTCCTATTAGTTGTAACAGTACTGTTTTTAGGTGCATTATATCATTTAATTTTCACAAAAGTCCTATCAAGTAGGTACTACTATTATACTCATTTAATTTAGGAAAAAAGTACAAAGTGGGTGAAAATTGAGATGTAGAAGTCAAGCACCTTACCACTGAGAAGCAGAGCTGGCTTCTGACCTTGGCTGCCTGACTCCTGACAGCATATTCTTAATCTGTGGATTTACCTCCTCCATTCACTCCATACACAAACTAGCAGAGAAGCTGCCAAAACAAAGCACTCCAAGAGCAGGCTGCAAGCTGTTGCCATGGAGATGATCTGGTGAGTGAAGGGGGAATCTTCACACATGGAGTCCCTGTGAGGCGTGAGGCACATGACAGAGATGATCTCATTTGGTTAAACTCGAAGGAGTGCCTTCATCATAGCTCTTGTAACAAGCACATACTGATGATTAGCCTTGCTTCCTTTTTATTTATTTTTATTTTTTGAGACGAGTCCTTCTCTGTCACCCAGACTGGAGTGCAGTGGCACGATCTCGGCTCACTGCAAGCTCTGCCTCCCAGGTTCACGCCATTCTCCTGCCTCAGCCTCCCGAGGAGCTGGGACTACAGATGCCCGCCACCGCGCCCAGCTAATTTTTTGTATTTTTAGTAGAGATGGGGTTTCACCATGGTCTCGATCTCCTGACCTCATGATCTGCCTGCCTCGGCCTCCCAAAGTGCTGGGATTACAGGCGTGAGCCATTGCGCCTGGCCACCTTGCTTCCTTTTGTTCTACGTAACAGGTGAAAACACAGAAAGTGGTGCGATTCAATTGCCTGATTTCATGTCACACCATGGGTCAAGGGCTTAGCTGGGAATTAGGAAGTTGGGATCATCTTTAAAAACTAGAGAAGGTACTGGCCAAAAGCTTCAACTTGGGGACAAAAGAAGCTACAAAAATCATGGAAGTTTTAGAACTGTTGTTTAGTTCCAATTATTCCCACTTCTTCACCTAGGAGTGGCTGCATTAGATGAAGGAAGAGGGCCCTGGTTTCATGAAGAAGGGAATTAGCACCCATTTCAGACTTCCTACACTGAAGAGGGGTTCCAGTATGGTGGAGGGGGCTCAGGGAACACTCTGGATGGACCATGCTCTGTGGGCTCTGCCTGGCTTCCCTGACAGAGGAGCAGGAACTGCTGGCATCACCTGTCCGATTCCCTCCATGTGTTCTGGGATTGGAAATGAACTAATTAGAGCTAATGTTGGAAATAAACTTACTTATTGGATAGGCTGCATGATTTGGGCCTGAATTTCTCAAACAGCTATGCAGAGGCAGCTGACGATGCAAATGTTCCCTCACCCTGCCATGGTGGTAATTAAGTTGCACTCAGGAGCTTTTCAAAGATGGGGGCTTCTGCTCTCCAGCTTCAGAAAGAGAAAGAAGATGAGTGAGAACAGCGGGGGATCTGGCTGCTTCTTCCCAATCCAACTGTAACTTCTGGATGGCAGTAGCCCCCTGCTGTCCCCACCATCCTGCCTGTTGTCAGCTGCAGCTGCAAGGGCAGCCTGCATATGGGGAGACATTTATCACTCATGAGCAGCTGGGTCATGGCAGTGGCCCTGGCAGCTGGCTGGATCATTTACTGGCCACGGCAGAGAGTTGGTCTCGGATGCGGCCCAGGCCATCTAACATGGTGTCCAGTGTTTCTTTGCTCAGCTCCACGGTGACAGCTGAGATGGAGGGTTTGTCTCCGCATAGGCTGGGATCTTCTTGGATCTGAAACGAGAACACAGCCCAGAAAGTCAAAGCTGCCTCTTTTCCCATATCCCTGTAAGTGAGCCCTGAACCTGCGAGGCTGAGCTCAGTTCTGCTGAACCTCTGAAGAGAGGCTCTTTCCTAAGCACTAGAGAGTACCAGCCCTTGGGTCATTTAGCAGTAAGGGAGAGTACAGGAGATACCTCAGAGGCCTGGGTCAGTCTCCATTTGCAACAAGTGCCTTGGGTAGGTATCAAAGAAGGCCAAGCCAAGGCTCACTCACCTCTCTGATACCCTAACTCTCAGCATTCAAGCAAGAAAACATTACGTGTGTTTACATTGGTACTTTAAGGAGCAGGTTCTGTTGGATACTTCAGACAATCCTGCATTGGGATGCAGGAACAATCTTACAACCTTTAGTTTTAAAAAATAAAGAAGTTAAGCTTCACTAATATTTAAAACTTAATTGCTAGAGGCACCCTTCTTCATTTTCTTACAAGTGGTAACTTTCTGGGTGTCTGGTTATGTAGATACAGCATTACATTTCTAGTTTTAACTAAACAAACACTACAATATGGATATGTAGCTTAAAAAGATTCCTGAAAATAACTATAAAATGAAGACAACACCAATGAAGCAAAGGTATGTGAGCAAGAAAATGAAGACCTGACACTTCTCCAGCTGCTAGTAGAAACTTTTTTTTTTTTTTTTGAGACGGAGTCTCACTCTTTCACCAGGTGGGAGTGCAGTGGTGTGATCTCGGCTCACTGCAATCTCCACCTCCTTGGTTCAAGCGATTCTCCTCCCTCAGCCTCCTGAGTAGCTGGGACTATAGGAGCCCGCCACCACGCCCGGCTTATTTTTGCATTTTTGGTAGAGATGCGGTTTCACCATGTTGGCAAGGATGGTCTTGATCTCTTGACCTCATGATCCACCCACCTCGGCCTCCCAAAGTGCTGGGATTACAGGCGTAAGCCACTGCTCCCAGCGACTAGTAGAAACTCTTGAGCAGCCACATTACAAATAATGACAGCCTAATCACTGGACAAGAAGTTGCTGAAGTACACTGAAATGATCGGGCAGGCTATTCAAAATCTGGAAGCACACTACTATTGTTAAAGCTAAACTGCTAAGAGTATAGGGTTACCTTTAGGTATCAGCAAATTATTTTAAAAATATGTTTTGTATTTGTTTTATTGTTTTAATATGTCCATAGTATGTTACTGCAGTAGTACACATACACGTTGTAACTAAACAAAGGAGGATAAAGGGGATGGTAATTTAAAAAAATATATGGGTTAGAGATCCCAAACCTTGGAGACTAGTGTTTTAGACGGCCATAGGGGTGCTGCCTCTTCTTTCTAATGGCATGATAGTGAATGTACCTTCATCTGGAGCAGGCAGGTGGGGACGGCCATGCGGCTGATGCTGTCTGAGGAGGTTTTGATATCCACTCTCCAGTCCAGATCGACCAGGCGTGGCAGAGAGACTGTGGAAGGAACAGCTCAGCTCAATGCTCATGCCGCCCGTGTTTACCAAGCATTTATTGTACGACAGGCGGCTCTGAGGACTGCACACATGCAATGCATTGGTCTATGCAGCAAGTCTCTGAGAAAGACAGATAAACAAAGCCCGAGACCCACAGCGAGTCATGTGCCTTACCCATTGCTCTGTGCTGCCTGCACTTGGTACTAATTCACAGTGGCAGCGTATCCAGGCTTCTACCTGAACACCCAGCCCTCCAGATGTTAGGGCAGAATGAGAAGTGACATAAAGCAGAGAAGAAATCATGGCCTGAGCCTTAGGAAATGTGTAGCTTCAGCAATAGTGGTAAGAGCTCTTGTTTTAGAGATAAATGGACTTGACTTGAATACAGGTGCTACCACTTATCTAACCTCTGAGCTTCTGTTTGCTCATCAGCCTAGCTCACAGGGCTGAAGGGAGGACTAAATGACTTGAGCAGATTAACTGCTCCAGCACTGTGGCTGGCTCAGAGTTACTGTAATGACCATTTATTAAACATGGACTTTCATTCAGCCTTTCAAACTATTTTTGATTATTGTTAATTTTTTTCACAATTGAAATACCATTATTTTAAGTACTTCACTTTCTGCTTTGGATATTTCTGTTTTTTAACAACATGCCTATATAATAATGTTTATAATCAGAAAAAAGTTAAAAAGTAGAATTAGGGAAAAAACCCACCATACACAGAGTATGGGTTGAGACTAGAATGGTTCACTTTGGTTTCTGCCAAAATCTCTGATCACTTGGCAGACTGAGAGCTGGGGCTGGGGAGACAAGTAAGAAGGGAGGGGCAGATTTATTGGTACTCACTCTGATTTGCCTGGGCTTCGGTTCTCCAAGTAGACCTGTTTAAGAGGGAAAGATGAGGAAAAAATAATGGAAAGGGGATGAGACTGACTCTTCTGATAGAGAGGGGAACTGGCCCTTCCTGTGATCTTCAGACCTGTCATCACCTGCTAACAGGAAAGGACCACAGAAACCCCTCCCTCCAAGAAAGTCTTTTGTTTATTTGTTTTACAAAGCTCAGTGATGTTAAGGCCCTAAGTGTTGTCAGTTTTCATAGTTCAGGACAAAAAAGAAGAAAATACAATGTATTGTAATCTTATTGTGCTATTGTTCTTTTGTGCTTTTGTTCAAAGACAAAACAGAAAAAAAGGTCAACTTATCTTCTCTTTATTGAGCACCTACTGCATACACAAATATTGCATCTTCTGCAAAAACACATCCAAACAGACCTGACTAATGCTACAACAAACATAATAAAATGTGATCATGTATGAGAAAGTTCTTAAAATACAATAAAACCCTTGGTAAATAGGCATTATCAGTTATTGCTATTAGAGAGGTCTGTTCAAGCCTTCTGCTAACCAATAGTTAATCAATTCTGCTTAAAATGTACGTGTTTAAAAGGAACTTCCCAGCCAAGAAAATATACAGATACTTCACAAAAGAAAAAAAAAGATCAATTAAACATATGAAAAAGATATCTGACATCACTAGTGTCAAAGATAGGGACACTGAAATGAGGTACCATTTGCCATTGTGGAACTGGGAAAAATGTAAGAAAAAAATCCCCTCAGTGAAGGCGTAGGGAGAGGGGTACACTTGTATCCTACTACTGTGGAAAAATACTGCAATATTTCTAATGGCCAACTTGAACATTTAAGGCCAAACCCTCAAAATGTCCATTACCTTTAACCCAGTAAAAAAATAATTAAGCACAGGAGCAAAGTTTTCATTGTAAATTGTTCACTGAAATGAAAAAATGCCAACAGCCTCAGTGTCCAACACTAAGAAATTTTAAAATTATACATCATTTCTTCCTATAACAGGATATGTTTAACCATTACAATGATATTGAAGGTAAACATTGACGTGAAATTTCACTATCGTTAATACTGTTAACAGAAAATAAGCAAGTTACAAAACAGCATGATCCATTTTGTAAAAACAAAAACAAAACATCAACCTCTTACAGAGGTGTAAAGAGGAAAAAAAAAACATGTTTTAAAAGGCTTTCCATTAAGAAAAGACTACCACTAACATCTGGCTGGTGGAATTACAGGTGTCTTATTTTCTTTTTGCTTATCCGGGCTTCCTAAGTTTTCAACAATGAGCATATTACTACTTCTAGAATGAGAATAAAAATAATAAGAAATGTAAAAGTTAGAAGGGACTTTCAAGAAATGAGCACTTACACATGTTCTAGGATGATCTTTGTCAGCAGGTTTTTGAGGTTTTGGTGGAAATTTTCTGGAAAGAGAGCCAGAATTGCCTCGGCAGAGGACAGGTCACGGAATGCCACCAGCCTAGTGAGGCGGTGCAGAGCCTGGAGCAGCTGCAAGATAAACGGAACCACCTGTAGCTGTAACAGAAGCAGCAGGCAGGGGGCACAAGGCAGGGCCAGGGGCAGGGCTCTACACCCCGAAGGCTGCACACTGCTATGGTCATTCAACTGAGTCACAAGTCCAGAGGCCTCTGTGGCACATGCTCATGCCCCACATGCCTTGGCCTGCCTCGGAGTTCACCTGTTGCTTTAGAAGACAGATGCAGCTCCCTGACCTAGGAAGCTGACAGCTTGTCAGAAACTCTCCACTTGTGGACAAAGAGTTAATATAGCCCTTTTCCTTCTGCATGAGAATCTGACCTTCAGTTAACTTTCTGGTGCTGTTTCCCTGGTAACCTGAGAGCAGTGCAAAGTCAGCTGTGTTACTAAGCAACACTGCATTGGTCCAAGGCTCTGGACTGAGAGGACTGCATAAATACCTGGGGTGCCGGTAGCTCTGGACTTGCCTATGTGTGGCTACAGGCTCCTTTCGAGAACCTGAAGCTGTGCTTACTGAACCGTGACACAAGATACCGGCTCCTGTGGAGTGAGGGTCTTGAATCCAGGGTGGTAGGATTCATGTCCTTTCCTCTCAACTGGTTGCCTAGGAGGGCAAAGAGAACAAACAGCTCCTGGCCGGCTGTGCGGGTTCCTCCTGGGAAGAGGCATGTCTGCCCGTCCTGCTAAAATGCTGTGTTCCCATCCTAGGTCCTTCTAAGTGAATCTGTAACTTTGAAGTGTAAGAGGGGTTTATGGTGGTCTTGTGAATAGAGTAATACTTAGCTAACCTAAAAAAGCTCTCTGGAGGTAACTGTTTCTCTGCTTTAGGGCTTTCTCTGATATCACTGCAGATTACCTGACACAACCCGGAAGTGAAGGGAAGTTAACCTTCCACCAGTGAGAGTGGGTGTTCATGGATAAATGGCCAAGCCTCTCTGTTCTCCCGGGGAACAATTCTGAGAGGTGTTCTACTTGGTTTCTTACAGGATCCCAAGTTTTCCATAGCAGTAATTGCTCTTAACATCCTCTTTCATTGACTTGCCTTCCCTGTTTGATTTTCCCCACTGCTTTGTGTTTTCTAGAATCATCTCCCAAATAATCTACTTTGGGGGGGAACCCAAAATAAGTCTCCAAATCACTTCCAAAATCTTGCTTTTTCCTTTTCCTTTTCTACAGCTCACTTCAATAAACAAGGTCCAGAATTAAAACAAAAAACATAGGCCAGGTGCAGTGGCTCATGCCTGTAATCCCAGCACTTTGGGAGGCTGAGGTGGGTGGATTGCTTGAGCTCAGGAGTTCAAGACCAGCCTGGGCAACATGGCAAAACCCTGTCTCTACAAAAAATACAAAAATTAGCCAGGCATCGTGGCATATGCTTGCAGTCCCAGCTACTCGTGGAGCTGAGGTGGGAGGACTGCCTGAGCCTGGGGCATCGAGGCTGCAGTGAGCCATGTCCATGCCACTGCCCTCCAGCCTGGGTAACAAAATGAGACCCTGTCTCAAAAATAAAAAAAATCCAAAAACATAGGCCCATTTAGATGAAGAAAGTGCTGTTTTAAAAACATATTTGCCTTGGAAAGATAAGGCTGTCACTGCTACATAATAACTTACCACAAGTTACCTTAATCTCCCTCTTGGCTACCTGCTGAGATCAGGTGAGCTGAGGAGAAGGGGACCTTCTGTGGGACAGAGGGGTGAGGAGGGAGTGAGATACACAAAGCACCCCTCAGGAAGCCTGATGGAATCTAGCAGTGCCTACTCCTGAATCTTATGCAGGCCTCAAACCTTCTGTTCAAAGATCCCTGAAAAGTCTGCCCTAAGCTATCCAGCTAACAATTTATGAGCATCAGCAAGTTATAGGTTGGAAAAGAAAATCACAGAAAGGTTGGCTTTTGTTCCACATTGTCTAGGTAATAGGTCTGAAAGAAAATGGTCAGGAGCTCTGATTCTGGGTACAGTTCTCCCATTCATGTCCCATTTATAAAAGTTTGCTACAGTGTCAACAGATGTTTCAAGGGATTTTCCTTGGACATGGCAATGACTGGGAAGTCAAGAAAGAGACTAATAAGAGGGCCAGTGGCCAAAGATCATTTCTGACCACACTTACTTCCTCTGCCTCCTCCTGGGTCACAGACAAGCTGGAACATGTAACATCCAAGAGTTTTTTCAAGCCAAGGGCTGAACTGGAAAAGCTTTCTTGACACAGCTGTCTGACAACATCTTTCGAGGAGGCCTATGAATTAAATCACAGATAGGAAAAAAAAAAACTCAGACTCTGAAAACACATGTTTTGAGTAATAATGTCTTTGTCATACATGATACCTTTGAGACTTAAATTTTAAAGGTACATAAGACTTTGGATTCTAGGAAGATCAAATAGATGTACTTTTCCCTAATCTTGCTGCTAAGTACAACCAAAAACTTTGGACATATACAGAAAACATACATAAGACTCTGGAAGCAGGAGAGGAGGCAGATCTGCTAGGGACCTCATAATACAAGGAATGACACAGTGGTGAGTTCCCTGGATTTTTTTTGCTTCATATATCCCAGACTTTCAGCTGAAGAAGAGGGCAACAGGAAATGACAATGGATGCAGAGGGGGGAAAAACGCTACAATAAATAGCTCTTCTGTCTAGCTAAAGGACCAACAAAGAGGCAGCCTTGCAAGACAGAAAAGTTTTAGATGACAACTGCTACACTCCAGCCAAATATCATAGAAAAACTGCAGCCCCACCCACCTCTATGTCAACAAAGGCTGAGTGGGAGGCCTAGACCTGAGTAAGAAGACTTGTGAGGCTATAATGAGGTACCCCAACATTCCTGCTGGGGAGGTGTCAGAGAAGGCCAAGTAGGAAGCTGGGACCTTTATCCCCACCAGCTGGTAACAAGCCTCATCATTCTGTGATACCAGTGGAGACCACGTGGAGTCAGAGATTCCACCCTTACCCAGTGGTAACAAGGAACCTCTGCTTTCAGGTATCAACAGATGCCAAGTGGGGAACCTGGACTTCAACTTCCACCTGATAGTAATGAGGTGGCACCCCCTTCCCCTGCCTAAGCAGTGCCACAGAAAGCCAGCTAAAACATAAAATTTAAATAAAATCCATTCTCAGAACATAATATGAAAATGTCCAGGTTTTCACTGAAAATCATTCATTAAACCAAGAACCAGAAAGATCTCAAACTGAATGAAAAAAGGTAATCAATAGATGTCAACACCAAGATGACAGATGTTAAAATTATCTGACAAAGAATTTTAAGTAGCCAGATAAATATGCTTCAACAAATAATTATGAACTCGCTTGAAACAATTTTTAAAATCGCCTCCTCAGCCAAGAAATAGAAGATATACAGAACAACAAAATGGAAATTTTAGAACTGAAAAATAAAATAACCAAAATAAAAAGCTCAGTAGATGGGCTCAGCACCAAAATGGAAAGAATAGAGGAAAGAATTAGTGAACCAGAAGACAGAGAAGTAGAAATTACCCACTCAGAAAAGCAGAAAAAAGAGAAAAAACTATGAACAGAGCCTCAGGGACATGCGGGACTATAACGAAAAACCTAACATTTGTATCATTGGAGTCCTGGAAGGAGATGATAGAAGAGGGCAAGACTGAAAGAATATTCAAAGAAATAATAGCTCAAAACTTCTCAAGTTTACTTAGAGACATACTCCTATATATTTCAAGAACCTGAGTGAACCCTAGACAGGATAAATCCAAAGAAATTCATACCCAGACATATAATTGAACTTCGAAAATGAAAGACAAAGAAAAAAATATTTAAAGCAGAGAAAAATGACACCTTACCTATTTAAAAAAAACAATTAGAATGAAAGCAGATTTCATATCAAAAACCATGGAAGCAAGAAAGAAGTGACAATATTTTTCAGGTGCTGAAAGGGAAAAAAAAACTGTCAACCTGGAATCCTACACCCAGCAAAAATATCCTTCAGGAATGAAGAAGAAATCGAGACATTCTCAGTTGAAGAAAAACTAAGAATATCTGTCACAAGACCTGCCGTAAAAGAATGGTTAAAATAAATTATCTAAACAGATATGAAACAATGAAACAAGAAACCATGGAACACCAGTGTACTAGCCAGAGCTCTCCAGAGAGACGAAACCAACAGGGTATGTAAGAGGGGATTTATTAGGGGGAAATGGGTCACATGATCACAGAGGCAAAGTCCCACAATAGGCCGTCTGCAAGCTGGAGGATCAGAGAAGCTGGCAGCTTGGCTCAGTCAAAGTCTGGCAACACCTCAGAACCAGGGAAGCTGATGGTACAGCCCCTAGCTTGAGGCCAAAAGACTGAGAGCCACTGGGAGGCCACTGGTGCAAGTCCCAGAGTCCAAAAAATGAAGAACCCAGAGTCTGATGTCCAAGGGTAAGAGGAGAAAAGGCATCTTGCTTTAGAAGGAAGGGAGAGAACAGAGAGAAAGGGAATCCCCCATCTTCCACCTGTTTGGCCCAGTTGGGTCCCCAGCCAATGGGATGGTACCTGCCCACATTGAGGGCAGGTCTTCCTGTCTTTGTCCACTGACTCACACATCAATTGTCTCTGGCAACACCCTCACACACTCAGAAACAACGCTTCACCAACCATCTAGGCATCCCTCAATCAAGTCAACACCTAAAATAAACCATCACAATCAGGAAGACAGAACAGGGCAAACAAAAACATGGATAAATACTGTAGGCTCTCTTTCTTTTCTTGAGTTTTCTATTATGTTTGAAGGCTGAAGCAAAAAATATAATATATCTGATGTGGCTCTAAACGTATATAGAGGAAATATTTAAGACAATTATAAATGAGGGAAGATAAAGAGGTATAAAGGGACGTAAAGTTTCTATACTTCGCCCTAACTGGTAAAATGATGACACCAATAGACTGTGATAAGTTACGTATATAGAATGTAGTAATTAGGGCAACCACTAAAAAGGCTATAAAAAGAAATGCACTTTAAAACATTACAGATAAACCAAAATAGGATTCTAAAAAAATGTTAACCTATGGGAAGGCAGGAAAAAGTAAAATGAAAGAAAAATCAAGAGAGAACAGGCAGAAAACAAAAATAAAACAGTAGACTTAACGCCCTAACATACAAATAATTATACTAAATGTAAATGGTCTAAGTGTACCAATTAAAAGACAAAAATTGGCAGAGTGGATTAAAAATATGACTCAAATGCTATCTATAAGAAACTCTTGGCCAGGCGTGGTGGCTCAGGCTTGTAATCCCACCACTTTGCAAGGCCACGGCAGGTGGATAGCTTGAGCCCAAACGTTTAAGACCAGGCTGGGCAACATGGTAAAATCTCTTCTCTACAAAAAAATATAAAAATTAGCCAGGCATGGTGGCACTTGCCTGTAGCAGCAGCTACTCAGGAGGCTGAGGCGGGAAGATTGCTTAAGCCTGGGAAGTAAAGGCTGCGGTGAGCCGAGATTGCACCACTGCACTCCAGCCTGGGTGACAGAGCGAGACCCTGTCTCAACAACAACAACAACAACAACAACAACAACAACAACAAATCTCCCTTCAAATATAAGACATAAGGCAGGTTGAAAGTAAAAGAATGAAAAAAGATATATTATGCAAACATTAATCAGAGGAAAGTAAGAGTGGCTAAATTAATAATAGATAAAGTAAACTTCACTGGCAAAGAAAATTACCAGAGACAGAGAGGGACATTAATAATGAAAGATTTTATCCACCAGGAAGATGTCCTAAATGTGTATGTACCCAACAACAGAATTGGAAAATATGTGAAGCAAAAACTATCAGAACTGTAAGAAGAAACAGACCAAATGACAAATACAGCTGAGGACTTCAACACTCCTCTTTCAACAACTGACATAACTAAACAGATATTCAACAAGGATATAGAAGGAACTAACAATACCATCAATCAATTAAATTAATATTCATGAAACAATACCCAGTAACAGCAGAATACAAATTCATTTCAAGTGTCCACTGAACACATACCCAGACATATCATATTCTGGGCCATAAAACAAACTTCATCAAATTCAAAAGAAGTGAAGTAATGAAGAGTGTGTTCTATGTGACCACAATGGAATCAAACTAGAAAGCAATAGCAGAAAGGTAACAGAAAAATATCTGAACACTTATAAACTTAAACAGTACACTTCTAAATAATCCATATGTCAAATGGGAAGTCTCAGGGATATTTTAAAAATTACACTGAATAAGTGAAAATGAAAACACACCATATCAACATTTGTGGTACACAGCCTAGCAAGTGGTGAGATGAAATTTTATAGTATTAAATGCATATACTAGAAAAGAGGAAAAGTCTCAAATCAATAATCTAAGCTCCCACCTCAAGAACCTATAAACAGGAAAGCATAATAAACCCAAAGGAAGCAGTGGAAGTAACAATGATAAGAGCAGAAACCAATGAAATTGAAAATAGAGAAATCGATGAAAGAAACAGCTGGTTCTTTGACAATGTCAATAAAAATCGACAAACCTTTAGCAAGACAGACAAAGTTAAGAGGGGAGACACAAATTATCAGTATTAGGAATGAAATAGAGGATATTATCACAGATCCTGCAGACATCAAAAGGATAATGGGAACTTAATGAAAAATTCTATAAACATAAATTTGATAATTTAAATAAAATGGGCCAATTCCTCAAATAACACAAACTACTTCCACTCCCCTAATATGAAATTGATCATCTGAATAGTCCTATGACTATTAAGAAAATTAAATTCACAATTTTAAGGCTCCTAAAAAAGTCTCTAGACCCAGATAGTTTAACTGGAGAATTCTAGCAAACATTTAAAAAAAGAATGAACTGATTCTACACAATCTCCACTAGAAAAACAGAAGATGATGGAGTACTCTCTAAATGATTTTATATAGCTACAAAGCTAGTATTACCCTGATACCAAAACCGCACAAAATTGTACAGAAAAATGAGAAAACTACAGACCAATATCCCTCATAAAAATAGATGCGAAAATTCTTAGAAAATAATGGCAAATAGAGATCAGTTATATATATGTATAATATTTTATTAGCAAATAGAGACATATAATTATATATAATTATACAATATGACCAGGTGGGATTTATTCCACAGATGCAAGGCTGGTTCAGTATTTGCAAATCTATGTAATCCATCACATTAACAAAGAAAATCACATGATATAAATCAATGCAGAGAAAGCATTTGATAAAATTAAACATCCATTATTGATAAAAGCCCTGAGAAAAATAGGAATAGAAGAGAACTTCCTTATCTTGATAAACAGTATCTACAAAAAACCTACAGTGAACATTATACTTAATGGTGAAAGACTGAATGCTTTGCCCCCAAAACTGAGAACAAGGCAAGATATCTGCTTTCTCCACTCTGAATCAACACAGTGCTGAAAATTCTAGCCACTAAAATAAGGCAAGGAAAGGAAATAAAATGTGTGCAGATCAGAAAGGAAGAAATAAAACTGTCTCTATTTGTAAATAACATGATTTTCCATGTAGAACATTCCAAGAAATATACCAAAAACTCCTAGAAACAATGAGTTTAGCAAGTTTGCATGTAGAAGATAAACATACATAAATCAGTTGTATTTCTATTTATTAACAATGAACATGTGGACACTAAAATTAAAAATACGGGCTGGGCATGGTGGCTCACATCTATAATCCCAGCACTTTGGGAGGCCAAGGCTGGTGGATCACTTGTGGCCAGGAGTTCAAGACCAGCCTGGCCAACGTGGGGAAACCCTGTCTCTACTAAAAATACAAAAAAAAAAAAAAAAAAGAAAGAAAGAAAGAAAGAAAGAAAAGAAAAAAAAAATCAGCCTGGAGGGGTGGTGGGCACCTGTAGTCCTAGCTACTTGGTAGACTGAGGCATGAGAATCCCTTGAACCCAGGAGGTGGAAGTTGCAGTGAGCTGAGATCATGCCACTGAACTGTAGCCTGGGCCACAGAGCGAGACTCTCTCAAAACAAACAAACAAACAAACAAACCAAAAAAAACCAAAACCATTTGCAATTGCTCAAAAAATGAAATACAGGATGTGCATGCTGAAAACTACACAGTACAACACTGTTGGACAATCATTACATGGAATACCACTCAGCAATAAAAAGGAAAGAACTATTGATACACACAACATGGATGAAAATTAGGCTGAGTGAAAAAAGTCAATCTCAGAAGGTTACTTA
Source organism: Homo sapiens (assembly GCF_000001405.40). NCBI lineage: Eukaryota > Metazoa > Chordata > Mammalia > Primates > Hominidae > Homo > Homo sapiens. Next base: position 36,286,820 of record NC_000011.10, read on the forward strand.
CTGTATTATTCCATTTATACGGCATTCTTGAAATGACAAAATTAGAGAAATGAATAACGCCAAAGGTTAAGGAGAGTGTGGCTATTCATGAGGAATCTTTGTGGTGGTGGAAATGTTTTGTATTTTGACTGTCAATATCAATACTTTTGACATTAGGTATTGACATCCATTTATCCTTTACCCAATTTCCCCTATGCAGAACCATACATAATAGTAAGTATGCTATATATGTATACTACATACTATGTATATCGCGTAGTATGTATACTACATACTATGTATATCGCGTAGTATGTATACTACATACTATGTATATCGCGTAGTATGTATACTACATACTATGTATATCGCGTAGTATGTATACTACATACTATGTATATCGCGTAGTATGTATACTACATACTATGTATATCGCGTAGTATGTATACTACATACTATGTATATCGCGTAGTATGTATACTACATACTATGTATATCGCGTAGTATGTATACTACATACTATGTATATCGCGTAGTATGTATACTACATACTATGTATATCGCGTAGTATGTATACTACATACTATGTATATCGCGTAGTATGTATACTACATACTATGTATATCGTGTAGTATGTATACTCTATATTATATACATACTATACATAATAGTATATATACTATATTATGTATAGTTCCGCAGAATCCTGCAGAACTGAGGGAAACTGAGTAAAGGATAAATGGGATCTCTCTATATTATTTCTTACAACTACATATGGATTTATAATTATCTCATAATAAAAAGTCTAAGTATTTTTTTAAAAAAAGAAAAGAAAGTACACAGGACAGTAGCAATGAAAATCAATGAACTACTGCTACATAATGGTGAGCAAAAGAAGCCAGGCATAAAAAAAAAGTATATGCTGTATTATTCCATTTATGTTAAGTTCAAACATGGGCAATATTAAATGAATTGTATCAGAAGCAAACATAGAGGTTACCATTGGGGAAGAAAGTGAGGAAGCAAAGAAAGGGCGAAAGGGGGACTTCTGGGGTACTGGTAACATTTCATTTTTTGACTTTGGTGGTGGTTACATTGGTGTGTAATAAATCATTTAACTGTAAATGTATGGTTTATGCACTTTTCTGTATGTATACTACACACTAATCTTTTAAAGTTTTTAAAAGAAAAGAGTGCATAAGACCAACAGGTATAGGGGCGGGGGTAGGTACAGAGCAGCCAAAATGAAGGTGAAAAGGCACTGGGTTGGGAGCTGAGAGCCCTAGATTGCCAGTCCCAGCTCTGTTACTTCATTTATTAATTCATTTAACAGCTATTTACTGAGCACGTGCTGTGTGCCAGGTATTATTGTTCTACTTATTGGGCATTAACACTTGTGAACAAAAGAGTAGATCCCCTTAGGAGTGGAGAATGCTAATGAACACTGAGAAGGCAATTAAAAAATAAATAAGTAAAACAAAACAGAGACTATTACATGGACCGATGATGATGATGTGCCATAAATTGAGGAGAGTAACTCAACCCTCTTCACCTGGTGTTTAAAAAAAAAAAAAAAGAGAGAGGAAGAAAGGAAAGGTCCCTGATGGATCTTACATTCTTATGAGACAGACGGACAACGGGCAAATAGCTAGCGACAAGTTCTACGAAGGAAAATAAAGCTGCCCTTTCTCCTACAGGGCAAATCATAAGTTAAATAATTCCGGCCAGGCGCGGTGGCTCACGCCTGTAATCCCAACACTTTGGAAGGCGGAGGCGAGTGGATCACGCGGTCAGGAGTTCAAGACCAGCCTGGCCAAGATGTTGAAACCCCGTCTCTACTAAAAATACATAAATTTGCCAGGCTTGGTGGCGGGCGCCTGTAATCCCAGCTACTCGGAAGGCTGAGGCATAGAATTGCTTGAACTCGGGGGGCGGAGGTTGCAGTGAGCCGAGATTGCGCCACTGCTCTCCAGCCTGGACAACAGAGCTAGACTCCGTCTCAAATAATAATAATACTTCATTTGAGCTTTACAAAGCCCTATGAAGTAGGTCCCTTTCAACCTCACAACTTTTCAAATGATTATCAGGAGTATGTCCTGCCCCTTTCGCAGGTCAAAGAGAGTAGGGAAAATCTGGACCTCAAGGGAACATTGAACGCACAGGTCATTCGGAGGGCTGGGCAGACGCAGTAGGAGATAATTTCTTAATTGTGCAATGCAGGAGGGGCTACGGGATGAAATGGGGAACTGACAACGTGGGTCTAGCAATTACCACTTCAATGCACCAATACCGAAAACCAATCCCAAAGACTAATAGCAGGAGGTTGTACTGCGCCTTCATGCCCATTATTTTATTTTTTTTTATCTTACGTTCCTGTCAAAACGATATTTTGTTCTTACTTTTTAAAAGCTCAGAAAGACGCAACGATTTGCCTGGGATCACACAGAGAACAAGCAGCAGAGTTGTGGCTCCAAACCAGGGTCAATTTGTTCCCAATTCCTGCTCCGTCTAAAGTCTCGGAGACAAAGGGCCACCTCACGCTGTCCCCACCCCTTCGACTTACCTTGAGCAGGCTCTGGAGTGCTGCAAAATGCTCCGCTGTCAGGGCAGCCATCTTGCCGAAGTCACATGACCGTGGCACCCAGGGAAGCGAGGTCACGTGGCTGTCGCTGTTGTCGCGGGGCCTGCCGGGGGCTGTAGTCCTTCAGAGTGGGGGAAGGCGTTTCGGTTGTGGTGCTGCGGCAGTGAGCGCGGATCAAGACGGACGCGGCGGCTGGATGACTAAACCCCGAGACTCTAGAACCAAAGGACTAGGGGGACCAGGGCGGAGGATGGTTTACTCGGGGAGGAAATTGGCTTGACTTGTCTACTTACCAAGTCAGGGAAACAGGTTTTCCCTTGACCCATGTGGGTGGGCTGGCGCACTTGGGGAATGCACCTGCAAGCTTGGCAGGCGCCTTGGAAACGTAGTTGTTCAGGAGTGATCGGCGTACCAGTGTTTGGAATGAAAATGAGGCTGTGCATATCGGGCTTCTTGGAATTGACACACACACATGCACACATCCTGTCTTGAATGTAAAATTACTTCTGCGTATATAGTTTTTCAGCCTATGTAGTAGGTTGGAGCTGGTATTATTAGTATTATCCAGATTGGGAAATAATCATTTAGGGTTTTTAGTAACTTTCCCATAGTCATAGAGAAGATCTGATTACAAGAGCAGGTGAGGAAGTGTTTGGGAGAGGGGACAAGAGAGGAATGGAATGAAAGCTACTACCTAGCTAGGTTCTTGTTATACGGGGGTGAGATGGGGGAGGAGGTTAATGGAAATGATTTAGTTCATTTATTCAAAAAGGTAATTATAATGAATATAATTGTAAAGAGTGATTTTGCACTGGCAGTACTGGACTCTGATTTGCCCTGTTCTCAGAGACCGTACATCAAAACAGACATTTCCTTTATCTACCTTTAGTATTTGGGTGGCTCTTTTCTTTTCCTACCCTCCACTTTTTTTTAAGCAAATTCCAGCTCAAAAAATGGGTTCTGATATATTCGAGCTTAAGAAAGAATGCCCATTTGTGAAATTCCAGAAATTGGTAAGCTGCTAAGGACATTTGTTCCTTTGTCTCCTCTCCTCCCCCTTCCCCTTCCCCGACTCCATTTTCTGTGGGGATGTTGTCAAGGCCCAGGAAACCAAAAATCAAATTGTCTAAGGAGGAACCCATTCCTGGATTAGAAGATTTTAGAACCATTTTGTCACAGGGTCCTGATTCTAGCTCTCTTTCTTGGCCTCTCTTTTCCATGAACCCTCATGGCCTGATTCCTGGTTTCTGTTATAACTCAATGTAGGTTCTAGGTTTAACTCCTGCCTGTATCTATAGGGCTGGGCCCATTGTCTTGGGTTAATTGAATATTTGTTAAATAAACAACCACCCAAAAAAGTGATTAGACTAAGATGAAATTTTGTGACTTATTTGAGGATATTGCCTTGGTATTTGCAGGATTGTGCCTTCTTGTCTTACTTTAGAGTAATGAGGAGTGTGGTCACCAGCCTTCAAGATGGCCCTCAATGATCCCAGCCTCCTGGTGTTCACAACCTAGTGTAGACACCTCCCACCATGTACCAGGATTGGTATGCATGACCAATAGCAAATGGTGGGTGTGAATGGCATATCACTTCTGAGATTAGGTTATACAAGACTGCACCAAAAAACTAACAAAAAGACTGAAGTTCCTGTCTCCTGGCTTGGGTGCTCTCTCATGTGCCCTGCTCTCTTTCACTTGAATCCTTTGCTCTGGGGAAAGCAAACTGCCATGTTGTAAACAGTCCTACAGAGAGGCCTAGGTGACAAGGAACTGAAGCATCTGGCCAACAACTTCATTACTGACCTGAGAAGCAGATTGTCTAGGCCCAGTAGAGCCTTAAGAAGGCAGGAGTCTTGGCCAACAGCTTAACTGCAACCTCATGAGAGATTCTGAGCCAGCACCACCCAGCGAAGCCACGCCTGGATTTCTGGCCTTCAAACACTATTAAGATTATCAATGTTTGTTGTTTTAAGCTATGAAGCTTTGAAGTAATTTGTTATACAGCAATAGTAACTAATGCATGGTGGCAGCAAAGCATAGGGGTTTTAGAATTCAACCTGAGTTGGAATCCTAATTCTACACATTATTAACTTTTCCGTGTACAAATTCTTGAACTTCTCTGGGCCTCAGTTTCCACCTCTGTAAAATGGTGTTCATCACACCCATCTAGTTCAGAGAGCAGAGCTGAGCGACAGGAGCTGCTTCAGTGGGAGGATTCCCAGCTCTCCTTACTCTCGCGGGCTGGTATGATATGAATGGCACCATGTCATCCCATTTTGGTAGGGCTGCCCAGATTGCCAATGCCATGTTGCATGTAAAGGTTTGTCTGTGGTCTGCAGAATGTCCAGCAATTTCTAAACCATAAACATTTTCATGGGTGGGAACAAAACAGAATGTCGGAGTTCATTTCTGTGATTTGGTCCCATTGCCTGGTTTTCATTAGGCCAAACCTAATTTCTTTCCAATTCTGAATATAGGAATCAGTGCTGACTTTCATTTATTTAATAAACTTGTTATGTGCCCGGCTCTGTTCTAAGCCCTTACATTTACTGATTAATTTACTTCCCATTCCTATCCTATGATATTATATATATACGTATGTATATACATACACACACATATGTACACACACACATAAGTACATATACATATATAAGCACACACACTGTATTGTTTCCATTTTACATATGGAGAAACAGACATAGGCAGATTAAGTAGTCTGAGGTCACACAGCTAAGTAGTGGCAAAGCCCAGATTCAAATATGGCCAGTCTGGCTCCAGATTCTGCACTGTTAACCGCCAAGCTGTACATGTCTCCTTGTTGTCCCACAGCTGTAAATTTGTGTTTCTTCTCTTTGCATGTCTGACTACCTTCCTCAGGCAGCAAGAACAATCTAAGAGTGTTCCTGTACAATCAGTCTGGTGATGGTGAGAAACAATATAATGAGTGAGTGGAAGGGCTACCTTGGGCTTTGGGAAAAGACCTAGGTTCAGTTTCCAACTCCTGTGTACTGTTAGCAAATTACTTCCCCTCTTGGAACCTCAATTTCATCATCCGTAAAATGGGAACAATAATAAAAATACCTTTTGGCCATTAGGGGGAGCTCAAGGATGACTTATACCCCAAAAGGGGAAGGATTGCTTATGTGGATTCTCAGTTCTAGTCATTGGCAACGCTAAAGGGCAGAGCTTTCCCCTGTTGTGGGCAAGGGTTTGCACGAGGGGGACTGGCCATCCCAGTTTTCCCAGGGATGAGGGGTTTCCTTGGATGCAGGACTTTCAGGGCTAGCGCTGGGACAGTTCTGGACAAACCAGGCCAGTTAGTCACCCAAGTTTGAGCCCTGAGCCTTGGGGGAAACCAGCCTTTTGGAACACTTGCCCTGATTTCTCCAGTGGGGCAGATATGAAGCAAGGGATATGGACACAGAATTTATTAGTAGAAAATGATTAAGGGCAGCAATCTTAGTATTGAGGGTTTTTTTATAGTAGCTTTATTGAAATAGAATTAACATTCACATACCATACAATTTATCCATTTGAAGTGTAAAATTCGATGAATTTTAGTATACTCACAGAGTTGTCCAACTATCACCACAATTAATTTTAGAACATGTTCATCATCCCCAAAAGAAACAGCATATCCTTTAGCTATCAACACCCACCTCTGCCCCCAATTCTCCCCATCACACCCAGCCCTAGGCAATCGCTAATCTGCTTTCTGTCTCTATGGTTTTGCCTTCTGGACATTTCCCATGAATTGGATCATATGATACGGTTTCTCCTCTTATACTAAGTAAAGGAAACGAGTACAAAAGACCACATATCATATGTTTTGTACTCGTTTCCTCTACTTAGCATAAGAGGAGAAACTTCTTCAAGGTTCGTTCATGTTATAGCCTGTATCGGTACTTCATTCGTTTTTTGCTGAATAATATTTTTTTGTACAGATATACCATAGTTTGTTCATTCATCAGTTGTAGACATTTGAGTTGTTTCTACTTTTTAGCTGTTGTGAGTAATGCTGCCATGAGCAATCATGTACAAAGTTTTTGTGTGAACATGTGTTTCATTTCTCTTGGAGTATACACTGAAGAGTGGAATAGTGGAGTTTCTGGGCCATATGATTACTCTGTGTTTAACCTTTTGAGGAAGTGTAAGACCATTTTCCAAAGTGACTGCACCATTTTACAGTCCCCAGAAGCAATGTATAAGGGTTTCAATTTCTCCACATCTGCACCAACATTTGTTTAAAAAAAAAAAGAGACAGAGAGATGGGGGTCTCTGCTCTTTTACCCAGGCTGGAGTACAGTGGTGTAATCATGGCTCACTGTAGCCTCAAACTCCTGGGCTCAACTGATCTTCCCACTTCAGCCTCCTGAGTAGCTGGGACTACAAGCATGCACAACCATACCCAGCTAATTTGATTTTATTTGTTTTAGAGACAAAAAATATGTTTTGTCTCTAAAACATATGTTTGCTATGTTGCTCAGGCTGGTCTCAAACTCCTGGCCTCAAACGATCCTCCTGCCTCAGCCTTCTGAGTAGCTGGGATTACAGATGGGAGCCACTGCATCTGGCTCTGCCTTTTTGATTATAGTGATCCTAGTGGGTATGAAGTAGTATCTCATTGTGAGCCGTCTTGTTTTGAAGTTGCATTGGTATATCAAACACATTTTGTAACTGGTTCTGTCTTTTTGATTATAGCAATCTTAGCGGGTATGAAGTGGTATCTCATTGTGAGCAGTCTTGTTTTTAAGGTGCATTTGCATAGCAAACACATTTTGTCACTTACGCTACTTTGGTTCATTTGAGGTAACTGATGAAGGTTATGGAAGCTTAAATAAACTCCTATTCTCCCCTTTGGTTTCACTACTAAGTCCTGGCTGCCTTCTTTGTCAGAGGAATGCCTGCAGGAGGTGGATTAGGCCCAGGGTCCTGCAGTCCTTTAAGGAGAGCCCTTGCCACCCTCCTGTTATTCCCCTAGTTTCCCTTTTCCTCACCTTTGTCTCAGTCCAGAGATGAGGGTGGGTTGCAGGGGGAAAGGGCTGATCAATCTTTTTGACTTTATGCCCCCTTTGTGGCTTTGACGTGGCCTGATCAGCTCACCAGTCGTCTTAGTCCATATGGGCTAATATAACAAAATACCATAAACTGGGTGGCTTTATCAACAACAGAAATGTGTTGCTCATAGTTCTGGAGGCTGGGAAGTCCAAGACCAAGGCATTGGCAGATTCTATGTTTGATGAGGACGGTTTCCTGGTTCACAGATGGTGTCTTCTCACTGTGTCCTCAAATGGTGGCTGTGGGCAAGGGAGCTCTCTTGGGCCTCTTTATAAGGGCACTAATCCCATTCATGAGGGCTCCACACTCATGACCTAATCACCCCCCATAGGTCCCACCTCCAAATACCATCACCTGGGGGTGAAGATTTCAGCATATGAATTTGTGGGGGACGCATACACTCAGACCGTAGCGCAAGTTGGGGACAAAAGCTCTGAGTGTCAGCAGGGTTGCACTGGCTTGGAAATGCTGGAAATCTGGAAATTTCCAGATCAGGCATCACAAACTGCATGATCTAGGGCTCACATTGCATTAACAATGTTGTGTTTGGTCCACAGTGTTTCAAAATTGGAAAACTCGACATAAAAAATCCAGCCTTCTGGCTTTTCTTTAAAAATGTGCAGGCCCAACCATGCTGTTTCCACCTTTCTGCATTGCAGTATTTGGCTGAGGCTGAGCCCTGGCTGCCCTCTGAAGACTGGTGTGAGCTTTCAAATCCCCACAGTTCCCGCCACACACTGTTGCATCACAGTGGGCCCTCTCCACACATTTGTCACCTGTCTCATACTTGAGAATATTTATTAGTGCCCAATTCCTTCAGGGACCTAACAGGGTGAACTTAGGCCATAGTAGGTAACAGGGCTAAATACAGACACTTGGGATCCTGGCTTTCCAGCCATCCCCATACCATCTCCTCATGAGTACAAGCAAGTTTCAGGTGTAATGTGGGCATCTAATTTGTGATTTGTGGTTCTTGATCACTTTTATGGGCCAGCCACTGTTCTAAGAGTTTTGCATATATTAATTCATTTAATCCTCCTAGGAACCCAATCATAATCCCGGTTTACAGATGGGAAAACTAACACCCAGAGAAAACACTTGCTCACAGTCCATGGGTAATAGTTGCAGAGTCAGAATTTGAAGTCAGGAGCGAATGAGGTCATTTTGCAAGGTTGCTCATGACCTAGTGTCTGGTTCATTATGGGGGTTCAGTGGGTGCAAGCTTTATAATATTCATCTAGTCTTGCCAACTGCTGCTAACGTGCTGCATGGCTGAGGTTTAGTCCCAGCCAGATGTCCCATCACAAAAGTTAGGCATTGAAGTGGATGACATTTGTGTTTAGAGAAATGATATGTCTCATTCTTTTCAGCTCTAACTTGGGGTAAGTTTCTGAAAGCAAGTAAGAGAAAAGGAGAGGGACATTTGTGATCTCTCATGTATAGAAGACTAACAAAGAGGCAGGTGGTCACACCTGAAGGCACGTCCCCTGACCCTTATTACATAATGCCATGGGCTAAATGTCCAAAATTCCTCTCCCAGCTCTGATTGGCCTGGCTACTATGATGAGTGAAGTCCACCAGGGAAGACACTGTGGCCTCGTTTCTCATCCTCCTGTCCCCAGGAGTAACACAGAAGCAGCTAGTAACACAACAGCATTGTCCTCACATACACAGGCCTGCTTTGTTTCCCCACCACACAGAGCAGCCGCTGTAACAATGGCCCCGAATGACACTTTACCCTCCTTTCTCCAATGTTGCACTTGTTTTTTTAGTCTGGAATGGGCTAAACAATGATTTCCTGCAGGGGGTATCAGCTTTTTATATTTTCTGCCTGCTTCTCTGTCAGTCTTCAGGCCCCAGGTCAGTGAGTGGCAAGCCAGGCCCAGAGATCTCTGCGCCCGTTGGAACATCCCCTTCTCGGGAGGCTGGAAGGCCATGGTCATTCACCTCTCCCCAGCAAGGTGGGACCTGCCCTGGAAGAAGAAACCAGACCAGGTAACACAAGAGAGACAATGAGAGCTTGGGGCTAGGGGGTGGGGTTGCAGGGGATGGCTGAGTATCCAGCCCAAGGAGGATGGGTTTCTGGCTTCAAGACATCCGATTTTCTTGAAAGCCACCATCTGCTGTTAAATAAATAATGAAAAGCAACAGAGGTCAAGTTCAGCAGCCTCCCAGTTAGAAAAATACCCTCTGTCTGTCTGGCCCTGTTCAGTGCCTCTGATATCTCTGGGTGACCAGGGTCTTCATGGCCCATGTAGATTTACTGAGGTGGCTGTTGCCTTAATAATAGCTGCTAGTACTAAGCTCTTTCTCTATGTATTGCATATGTATACCTATTACTGTATGTCTCTCATTGAATGAATAGTAATGATAGCAAACCCTTATACAACATGCCTCAGATTCTTGCTTCTTTCAAACCCAGGGAGTCGGGTTCTAGAATCTGCGCTTTTCGTCATCATGCCCCTTGTAAAGCATTTTTTTTTACAACATCCTGCTAATAAACCAAGGTCATCACAATATTTCACTTTGAGAGGCAATGATATATGATGATAGCTATGTGTATTGTGAGTCCTTTGCCCTGTGCCAGGCAGCATTCTAACTGTTTTGCAGCTATTTCATCAGATAGATACTTTATGATCTCTATTTTATGGATGAGGAAATTGAAGTACGGATAATTTAAGTCATTCACCCGGGGTCACACAGTTGTTAAATGGCAGAGCCTGGATTTGAATTCAGTTTTCTCTTAAGTAGTATGGGAATCTTAGACCCGCCCAGCCCTGCTGGTCTGGAGTTATTCTGCTTCTCTAGGTCATGGTGTATAGAGGGTGACATTCAGTTTCTGGCTTCATAGAACATCTGCACCCAAGTTGACAGCTTAAGGAATTTTTTCGTTTGTTTATTTTAAATGATTTTTCTATTGGCATCAGCTTTTGTCTTGCTTGAAGAAGATGGAATTGCTCAATGACGACAGTGAAGGAATTTGAAAGGGTAAGAATTGCTCAATGAGTGGTATCTCTTTTTTGGCCAGAGACCAGGCTAAGTTGCCTCATATGTAAGAGAACATACGTCAAATACACAGGACTCATGGTATATTATGGAAGCAAACTTTATTTTTGCCTATCATTGTCCCTAATTTTTTTCAGCAGGTCCTCCCTCTTCCCTTGCCCTGGGATGAAAATTAAGGTAGGTCCACAACTCTTATGGGCCCCCTTCAGGAATCAAAAGTTCTTAAGTCGCTTTTAGTTCCAGCACAGCCTCATTCAGCAATTGGGATGTCCAGTCCCAGGGAATCAGCCAGATCTTTGAATTTGGTTCCCAGTGGAGACTTTTCTCCCTCCTCCAGTGGGGCCTGCAGCTTGGAAAGGGGGTCTGTGGTTGGCTTCTCATTTCCCACGTTAAGCTTCCATCCTTCTCTCCTCTGGCTTACTGATGATTCTGACTCCTGGCAGGGGGAAGGGGAAAAGAGAAGAGGCAGGAAAGGAGCTGGAAGTCCGTACTTGGTTAATGCTGTGGCAAGCTGGCATTTCAGTGGCAGGTTCTGGTGGGTGTGTAAACCTAGTTCTTTCTCTCTAGGCACAATCTTGTGGATACTTCAGAGAGCACCATTATTTCTCATCTTTGGGGATCTCTGAGTTGCTGGTCCCTTGAAGCTGGTTGCCTAATAAGACTCCTTCCTTAGTTCCCTGGCATCTAAGCAGTGCCGTATTAGTTTGCTGGGACTGCCATGACAAAATATCACAGACTGAGGGGCTTAAACCAGCAGTCCCCAATTTTTTTGGTACCAGAGACCAGTTTTGTAGATGACACTTTTTTCCACAGACCAGGGTAGGGATGGTTTCAGGATGATTCAAGTGCATTACATTTATTGAGAACCTTATTTATATTATTATTACATTGTAATATATAATGAAATAATTACACAATTCACCACAGTGTAGAATCAGTGGGAGCCCTAAACTTGTTTTCCTCCAATTAGACAGTCCCATATGGGGGTGATGGGAACCAGTGACAGATCATCAGGCATTAGATTCTCATAAGGAGCATGCAAACTAGACCCCTCACATGCGCAGTTCACAATAGGGTTTGTGCTCCTATGAGAATCTAATGCTGCTGCTGATCTGACAGGAGGTGGAGCTCAGGTGGTAATGTGAATGATTGGGAGCAGCTGTAAATATGGATGAAGCTTCGTGCTCTCTCTGTCCCTGCTGTGTGGCCTGGTTCCTAACAGACCACAGACCAGTACTGGTCCATGGCCCGGGAGTTGGGGGCCCCGGGCTTAAACAACAGAACTTAATTTTCTCCCAGTTCTGGAGGTTAAAAGTCCAAGATCAAGGTGTTGGAAGGTTTGTTTTCTCCTGAGGTCTCTGTCCTTGGCTTGTGGATGGCCACCTTCTCACTGAGTTCTCACATGGTCTTTCCTCTGTGTGTGCATTCCTGGTGTCTCTTGGCATGTGCAAATGTCCTCTTCTTATAAGGACAGCAGTCAGAGAGGATTAAGGCCTACCCTAAGGGGTTCATTTTAACTTAATCACATTTTTAAAGGTCCTGCTTCTAAATGCAGTCACATTCTAAGGTCCTGGGGGTTAGGGCTTCATCATATAAATTTTGGGAGGATAGTTGAGGCCACAACAAGTGCTGTCAGCTTTTCTCTGAAGGTAAATTTCCATTCCTCCTGGTGGTCCTTGTCAGAAGGACCTACACATCCCAGAGGTTGGCCACAGTACATCTCTGGCTTATGGAAAATGCTCGTTTCATTATCCCAGGAAATCCAAAGCTACCACGTTCTCTCCACTCCAGCTGATCACTCCATCTCTCTTGTATTTTGGGATTCACAGACATGATTCAGACATCAGCCCTCAGTGACAGTCAACCTCCAGGGACACAGCATCTTGGAGGCCAATCTTGGAGGGTGGGTAGTGGGCAATTGGGACTTGGAGTGCTCCTATTGCTTTCTCCAAAATTCCTCCTCTACACCACCAACTGTTCTTCTCACCCAGCTTTCTTTGTGGGCTGAAGATGGTCAGTTAAGAGGGAAACCAGTTTCGTGCCACTTCTTTTGTCAGCCCTGCATGATGGCCTCAGTGTCACAGCTCACTTTGAAACATGTCTTTTGTCCTTGGCAATACCTGAACTGAGACCATAGTCATTTTTACATCCTGCTACACAAATAGCATCTCATTTAGTTTTCATAAAGAACCCTAGGAGTTCTTCTGCATATGGAAGAGGAATCTGGAGCTCAGAAAGGTTAACGAATTCACCCAAAAGAGATTATTCAGCGAGTGGCGGGGAGGGGAGTAGAGATTCAAGCTTTAACCCACTTCATTATTTACTTCTCTGGGCCTTCATCATCCAGGCTTCTTAGAGCTTTTACCTACTGGAGTTTGGTCTGTGCTGCTAAAATGTTTTCTTCTTAGCAGAAAACTATAAAGGTAAACAACAACAACAACAACAACGACAAACACTTCATCGCTGCTTGCACCACTTGTGATGCAGGGGCTGGCAACAGGAGTGACAGGTGCATCAGGAGCTTTCTTAAGTATGTTGTGAGATGAGCTCTGTGTACCCAGGAAAGTCTTTGACTGCTTGAAAGTCCTCCATCCCTGCCCCACTATAATTTAATCAGCAGAATAATGAAGTACAAGTGAAATATCTTTTTTTTTTGTAGAAATGCATAAAAGCAATTCTGTTAGTCTGTTTTGTGTTGCTGTAAAGGAATACCTGAGACTGGGTAATTTTTAAAGAAAAGAGGTTTATTTGGCTCACGTTTCTGCAGGCTGTACAAGCATGGCACTTGCATCTGCTCAGCTTTTGGTGAGGCCTCAGGGAGTTTTACTCATGGCAGAAGGTGAGGGGGGAGCATGTCACACGGTGAGAAAGGGTGCAAGAGAGTGCCAGGCTCTTTTTAAATGACCAGCTTTCTTGTGAACTTACAGGGTAAGAACTCACTCCATTATCACCAGGGCAGCACCAAGTCATTCATGAAAGATCTGCCCCCGTGACCCAAACATGTCCCACTAGACCCCACCTCCAATGCTGGCAATCTCATTTCAACATGAGATTTAGAGGAGACAAACATTCAAACTATATCAGCAATATTGCATTCTGAGAATTTTATTCAAGGCAGAAGGGGCCATATCATCTCACCTTCTAGCTCCCAGGAGGTACTTAACCTAAAGATGACTTCCGAATATGAAGCTATTTAAAAGAAAAAAAAAATCCTCTTTTTTGTTTAGATTTTTAATTATTTTCTTTACAAATAAAGAAGCCCAAGCCTGTCATTGCCCATTCTTCCTTAGGAAAGGGAAAGCTACATATGGGCCTGGCAGTGGTTCAGAGGCTGCCTGCCAAGGCTGTGTCAGGTTCATCTGGCAGCCGTGCAGAGCTGGGCTGGGCTGGGCCGGGCTGAAGTTGGGGCCCAGGGCACAGGCCTGGGATGGGCTGGAGCTGCAGCTGTCTCCGTCCAGTGAGGAAGGGGAGGATGATATTTCTGTTCACCCACTCAGCAATTATTTAACAAACATTTATTGTGCCCAAGACTTTTGTGGGCTCTCTGCCAGGAAAGGGCAGGTCATTGAATGGGCCCTGGGAAAAATGATGTCTGAGCTTCTCTCCAGTTCTCAGAGAAAGGTAAAGCACTGGAAGCGGGCGATTCAGGGAGAGGGCATGGAGGCATGGAAAAGCATGGTGTGCTTGGAGATCTATGGATGGTTTTGAACTGCTCAAGCACAGGCCGGGGTCAAGGGAGGGCAGGGGTCAGAAGAGGGAGGAGGAAGAAGGTGGAGGAGCTTCCAAATTGGAACTTGGTAGGCAGGTTGGGCCCTGGGAGGGCCACAGAAGGGTCTGAAGCAGAGTTGTGACCAGAGTGGGTTTGTCTTTTAGAGGGAACTCTGAGGCAGGACGGGGACACACTTGAGCATCAGAGGCGTCAAGGCTCAGGGAGAGGGGTGAGGGAAGATGAAGGGCAGAACCGAAGCCCTGGCTGAGATCATGGGAATGGGGAGGGGTTAAGCTGGAGAGAGTGGCAGCCACCTGAGGGAGGGGTTGGTCTAGAATGTCTTTCAGGTTTCTGACTTGAACTACAGAAGGGATGCTATGCCATGATGGGTCAGTGTGTGTGTAGGGGGCCGAGGACCCTTCCCAGCTGGAGGAAGTGGGGCATGGGGGGTCGGGGTGTTGTCCTTTCTTTTAATAAACATACGGAGGGGCTGCCCTGAGCTGCGTGCTGGGAGAGGAGAGCAGAGGGGACACCTTCCATTCCTTACAGAGCCCTTGGGCCAATGAAAGAGCAATTCAAATGCAATGGAGCAGGAAGACCCTAAGAGAGAATTGGAAAATGACTGGGAAAATTTGAATGTAGACCAAGCATTCAGTGATATTAGAGAATTATTAATTTTTTAAGGTGTGATGAAATTATTGTGTTTTAGGTGGGAGAATACCCCCTCATCTTTTTTTCTTTTGGGGAGATGCAAGCTGGAATATTTAGGAGTGAAATATCATGATGTCTGTAATTTACTTGGAAACAAATAAATACAGAGGGAGAGAAGGAGAGACAGAAAGAGAATGTGCAAATATGGCAAAACGTTACCAATTGTTGGGAGTATATGGGAGTTTACTGTACTGTTATTGCACTGTGCTTTTGGCTTTTCTGTGTGAAATATTTTGTAGTAAAAACTGGAAAATACAAAGTAGCAAGCGCATTGATGGGAGGTAAGGGTACCACAGGAACACAATGAATGGCCTCTAATCAGAATTTGATGCATGAGGGATGCTTCTAAAGAAAACAGCATCTAAGACCTGAGGAAGAGTGATCCTTGAAGCGGGGATGGGGAAGAATTTTGGGGAGAATGTACTAGGCAGAGAGGGAACAGCCTGTGTGTAGGCCTGCTGGCCTGTCTTGCTAGAGGAACAAAAAGACATTTAACGTGAGTGTCAAATGTGAAGCAGAGTCACCAAGAGATGGGAAGAGAAAGGTAGGCAGGTCCTATAGAGTCTTATAAGTTTGGACTCTGTCCCAACCACAGCATAACTAGGGGGGCTTCATTTCAGAAAGATGCTGGCTCAGCTGGGTGCGGGGGCTCACACCTGTTATCCCAGCACTTTGGGAGGCCAAGGCAGGCAGATCACCTGAGCTCAGGAGTTCGAGACCAGCCTAGGCAACATGGCGAAAACCCATCTCTACTAAACATACAAAAAATTAGCTGGGCATGGTGGCGGGCACCTGTAATCCCAGCTACTCGGGAGGCTGAGGCACGAGAATCGCTTGAGCCTGGGAGGTGGAGCTTGCAGTTAGGTGGAGGTTGCAGTGCACTGCACTCTAGCCTGGGTGACGGAGCGAGACTCTGTCTCAAAATAAAAATAAAAATAAAAAAGAAAGATGCTGGCTCACGTGTGTGCAGTTGCTAGGATCTGGCAGCCCCTGTTTTAAGCACTTCATCTATATGAGTTCGCCTAATCCTCACCATGACTTTATCAAGGATGTGCAGATTAGCACCTCTATTTATGAGAGAAGCCAGCCAAGGCACAGAAGAGTGAAGTCACCTGCTCAAGGTCACATATCTGGAAGAGTCAGGATTCGAGCCCAGGCATCCTGGCTCCAGAGCCCACGCTGCCCTAATCGCAAGGCAACACTGCCTCTTGAGTTTAGTCTCTCTGTGTGGAGAAGGAAGTGGAGGGAAGCAGGACTCTTCCTCAAGACAGGAAGACAGCTTAGGAAGCAACCGTACACATCCAGACTCAAGGTGATGGTGACTTGAACTAAAACAATAACAGTGGTGATGGAGAGAAATAGATGTAATAGAAAGTTATTTTGGAGTGAAATCTATAGGACTTGGTACTTGAACAGTTGTGTCAGGGAAGTCAAAGACAATGCCCAATCCATACCCCACTGAACACCTAGCTCTGTGCCTTCTTGGCAGGAGAAAAGGGCTAGAGTAAGAGAATGTGGAGATACCTTGCTCATAAAAAAATCGAGAAGACATTATCAGAACCATAACATCCCCTTCAACTGTGAGGAGCAGACTGTTGTCCACCCAACCTACATATCTCTTTCCTGGCTTCCACTAATCCTCACTTTTGGTGCAACTTGCCATTTTCACTGTTTGAATTTTTTAATCTGCACCTGTTATAAAATAGAGATCATTCCTTTATCCTGACTTGACTGGAAAAACAGAGTCAAACCACAGCTCCTGGTCCCTTCCCTAATTGTCTCTCAACTCACTAACCTGCCATTAGCCTTGAGTGATGTGACGTATGCACCTGTCTGTGTTTCACAAGAAGCCCTTGATCCTTGGGCCTCTTCAGAGGGCTTAACTGGAATGAAAAATTAAACAAATATTGAAAAAACAATAGAACGAACAATACATGGTCATGTCCCTCTAATCCTTATTGATTTTTAAGATCTTCTCAGGCATGAAAACAAGATTCACTGCTAGCAACCCAACATTGGATTTCTGTTAACTGAAAGAGTGGCTTATTGATCAGGGTGGGATGTCCAGCAGGGCAGGAGCAGGCCTGTGTCTGCCCCACCAGCTAATCAACCCCAATTCAACCCTAAGAGGTGGAGCTCAGTTGGGTGAGAGCTGCACTCACTTGAAATGAGGGACACTGTGGCCCAGGAGGGTCCTCGCAGCATCCTCAGAAGAGACTGAGGCCATTCCTCAGTTATATACCAACTCTCTGGGGACCTCATCTTTTTCTTGCTAAAGGCCTCAAGAATTCCTCATTATTTTTTTCTGTGTCAAAAATAATATAACTACTACATGAATTCATGTGTAGAGGACATGGATCTGCAGAATAAAATGGGTTCATCTACATATGTTCCTGCCTTTCATTCCTCTGTCTCAAGGAATTGTTCATTTAACAACAGATTCAGCTGTTATTCTATGCTGTTTGAAGGTTGGCAATACAGCCATTCACCATATACCAAATGGCAAAAATCCCTGCTCTCATGGAGCTTTTATTTTAGGGGATATTGTGAACAGTTTGGTGAGGAGCCTTCCAATCCATATATGTATTAATACAAACAGGTTTGTGCTGTACATATGATTCTGTGGCTGGCTTTTTTCACTAACAACATGTCTTGGAGCTCATTCTGTGTCAGCATGAATGGTCCTTCCTCATTCTTTGATAGTTGCATAATGGTTCTCTGCAGGGATAAACCCCTGCTAGTAAACATACAGTTATAATTTTTGTTTTCACAAATAGTGTTGCAGCGAACTTCCTTCTGCATGTACTGTTGTACACACACAATTTTGGACACTTACTAAGCCATGATATATAAATTAATTACCCTCTCTGTGCCTCAGTTTCCTCATCTGTACATTGAAAGTCATGGTAATAATCTCCCTCTAGCCATCAGGGAAAAGCAAATGAAAACCATGATGAGACGCACTTTACACTCACTGGGATGGATATAATTTTTAAAAATAGATGACAAGTGTGGGAGAAGATGTGGAGAAATTGGAATCCTCATGTGCTGCTGGTGGGAATATAAAATGATGCAGCTGCTTTGCAAACAGTCTGTGCATTCCCCAAAAGGTTAACACAGAGTTACAATTTAACCCAGCAATTCCACTCATAGGTATATACTCAAGAGAAATAAAAACACATGTTGCCACAAAAATTCGTTTAGAAATGTTCATAGCAGCATTATTCATAATAGCCAAAAGGTGGAAACAACCCAACTGTTCATCAACTAATGAAGAGATAAATAAAATTTGGCATATTCACACACAGGAATATTATGTCACATTAAAAAGATATGAAGTACTGATACAGGATCCAACATGGATGACCTTTGAAACACTATGCTAAGTGCAAGAAGTCAGTCATAAAAAGCTACATATTATATGATTCCATTTATATGAAAGGTCCAGAATTGCCAAATGTATAATGACAGAAAGTAGATAAGTGGTTTTTAGGGGCTGGGGTTGAGTGGGAAGGGAGGAAATGGAGAGTGACTGTTAATGGGTATGAAGTTTCCTTTTTGGGGTGATAAAAGTGTTCTAAAATTTGCTGTGGTGATGGTTGTACCTATCTGTGAATATACTAAAAGCCATTGAATTGTATACTTTAAATGGTTGAATTGTATGGTAGGTTCTATGGTCTGAATATTTACGTCCCCCTGAAATTCATCTTTTGAAACCGAATTACTAATGTGATGACGTTTTGGAAGTGATTAGGTCATAAGGGTGGGGCCCTCCTGAATGAGATTTTTGCCATTACTGAAAAGGCTGGAGAGAGACCCTTCACCCCTTCCATCGTGAGGATACAGCAAGAAGGCACCGTCTATAAACCAGAAAGTGGGCCCTCAATAGACACTGAATCTGCCGGTGCTTTGATCTAGGACTTCCCAGCCTCCAAAACTGTAAGAAACAAATTTCTGTTGTTGATAAGCCATTCAGTTTATGGCGTTTTGTTATAGCAGTTTAAATGGACTGAGTTAGTATATGAATTATATTTCAATAAAGCTGTTATTAAGTAAAGTAAGGTTGCTGTGAGGACTGACTGAATTACATAAGATGTGTATAAAGGTGCTGGCACTTTGTCTTTTTGGGCCTAGCTTATGTCACTTAGCCAGGAATCTCCTTTCAAATGACAGGATCTCATTCTTTTTTATGGCTGAATAGTACTCCATTATGTATATGTACCATATTTTCTTTTTTTAATTATTACACTTTAAGTTCTAGGGTACATGTGCACAACGCGCAGGTTTGATACATAGGTATACATGTGCCATGTTGCTTTGCTGCACCCATCAACTCATCATTTACATTAGGTATTTCTCCTATCCCTCCCCCAGCCCCCCATCCTGGTGTGTGATGTTCCCTGCCCTGTGTCCAAGTGATCTCATTGTTCAATTCCCACCTATTGTTCAAAACCCACATGTGGTGTTTGGTTTTCTGTCCTTGTGATAGTTTGCTGAGCATGATGGTTTCCGGCTTCATCTATGTCCCTGCAAAGGACATGAACTCATCCTTTTTTATGGCTGCATAGTATTTCATGGTGTATATATGCCACATTTTCTTAATCCAGTCTGTCATTGATGGACATTTGGGTTGGTCCCAAGTCTTTGCTTTGTGAGTAGTGGGTGCTGGCACTTTGAATCTATGTACCTACTACCTTCGTTGTTGCTTCCAGGGGATGGATTTCTAGAAGCGGAATTGCTGAGTGAAAGGGGAGGTGCATTATTATTATTTTTTAATGATCTTGCAAAGTTGCCTTCTAATAAAGGCTTTACCAATGCACCCTCCAAGAAGCAGTGCATGAGGATACCAGTTTTTTCCTGTTTCCTTTTCCTTTTCATAGCAACCACCACCAAAAAAGTCTGAAAGAATACACACAAGTGTTCATAGTGATTTCATTGGGTAATGGGATCAGGTGTCAACTTCCTCTTCCTTTTCCTGTATTGTTTATCTCTATTTTCTCATAGTGCTAAAAAAAAGAACATGTAATAGTTGTATAATGTTTAAAAAATAAAAGCACCCCCCACATCTCTTCTCCTTGAGGCTCCTACCCATTCACAGGGTTGGTAGTGATGACTACAAAAGACCCTGATTGCCACACCCTAAAAAGGACAGGAGCCCTTCCCATTGTGATGGTTTTTGTTGTAAATTTCTAGAAGAAACGGCCAGGGGGCGACAAATCTAAACATGAAGGAAGTGCAGAAACTGCAGTTATTTCCCCAGAACTGTACTTTCTTGCTAGAAGGCACCAAAAAGCCCTGTAATAAAATCATGCTGTGAGATATTTCCCCCTTCCCAGCTACTAGACACAACAAGTTTGCAAATGCTTCATATGCCTTGTCATTCACTCCTCACAATTCCATGACAGAGGTACTGGCGCAAAAATGAAGTTAAGGAAATTAAGCAGCTTACTCAAAGGCAGACTGCTAGGAAGTGGCAGAGGTAGATACTGTTAAGACGCTTTCAACTTCAAGTCAAGAGTCATCAACAAGGATATTTTATTATCTCATTTAAAAATGAGGACATAGGGCAAGCTTCAGGGGAGGTTGATTCAGCAGCTCAGCAATGTCCTCAGGGTGCCTCTTCTTTCCACCTCTCTGCTCTGCCATCTTCCTGTTGCCTACATCCTCAGGCAGAAATAGGGCACTAGCAATGACATCTAGAATAGCAGAAGGCCAAGCCAATGCACCCTCCCAGAAGTAGTGCATGAGGATACCAGTTTTTCCCCTTTCCTTTCCTTCTGAAAGCAGCCACCAACAAAAAAATCTGAAAGAATACGCACAAATGTTCGCAGTGATTTCTGTGGGCGATGGGATCAGGTGTGAACTTCTTCTTCCTTTTCTTGTATTGCTTATCTCTATTTTCTCACAGTGCTAAAAAAGAACATGTAATAATTGTGTAATGTTGAAAAAATAAAAGTACTCCCCACATTTCCCTTTGCTACGTCCAGGGGAAGAAGAGAGGGACAGTTTATTCCTAGAGTTTTCTCCTTGGAATGATGAAATTTTTCTTGAAATCTCTTTCTTTTTTCCAGCAAACTTTCCCCCACAGGCACACTGTATGTCTCACTGGCCCAATCTAGGTCACTTACCTACTTGGGAACCAATCATTGGCAAGGTGAATGGAATTCCCTCTCAGTCTGTCCCTGGGGTTTGTGCTGGAGGTGGGTCATTGTCCCCTGAGGGGGAACATTTCCTGAGAAAAATTGGGATTTTATTAGGAAGAAAGAGGGGAAATGGATGTTGTAGAGTTGAAAGGAAGAACCAATGTATCCAGCATTGGTAGAGACTCAAACATGCAATTGTGAAACTCAGTAGCCTGTTTATAGCTGCTGTGCCATTCTGTGTCTTTGCCAAGACTTCCATTGCTAGAAATTGATTATTGAGGATGGAGAATATAAGTCGTCCACATCTGCTCTTTCTCTCTATCTTCAGGCCCCAATCCTCAAAGAAAGGGGATTTGAAAGTTTGGTTTGAGGCAGGTTTTTAGAAGTGAAGTAGTTGATTTTTGAAATGCCATGGTCTCCACTAGATAATTTCTACCTTGCTGTCTCTAGCCTGGAAGAGTGCCATTACACATTCCCCCTGGGTGTCTCAGGAAAGGTCACTTTGGGATGGTCTCCTCCTCGCAGCTTATGGGACTAACTTGATTAATAGTATTGCATTTTAGATTTAGAGGACTTTGGAAAGACCTGCTTGACCTCCCTTCGTGGGAATCACAATTTTAGCTGATGTGATAGATTGAGGTATTGTTCAGTAAATCTTCACTCATTTCCCTTCCACCTTGGGACACAGTACACTTCCTGAGTCACTGACTCTGGGCTTGGGCATTGACTTGTTCTGGTCAATGGAATGTGATCAGATATGACTCTATCAGAGGCTTTAAATAATGCTTGCACTGTTTGGCTTGGCCTTCTGCTATTCTGACAGCCAACAGAAGAGCATAACTTGGGTAGCCACTGCCCTTTCTCCCTGTGCTCCAGAATTAGTCACATGGAACAGACACAAACCTGAACTAAGGCAGAATTGCCCTAGTCAACCTGCAGATCTGTAAGTGAGAAAAAGAAAGGCTTATTTTCCTCAGTCACAAAGTTTTTATTTTGCAGCAGTATTGCAGCAATAGTAGACGGATACAGGTGAAATTTGAGGGCATTCAGCAAAGTGTATGGAGAGTGTAGACAAATTAGATAAGCTGTGAGAATATGTCTCATCGAAGCAGCTCCTGGAATAACAAGTGTTAAGTATGGCTC
This sequence comes from Homo sapiens, assembly GCF_000001405.40. Lineage (NCBI taxonomy): Eukaryota > Metazoa > Chordata > Mammalia > Primates > Hominidae > Homo > Homo sapiens. Next base: position 36,309,156 of record NC_000011.10, read on the forward strand.
AGGGAGGGAAAGACTTGGAGTTGTTTTGGTGAGTTTCTTGGAGCAGCCTAAATTCTAAGAACTTTCTATAAACTGTTTTCTGACCTATTCTCACCAAAACAAGCATCAACGCCAAGAAATTACTAAACCATGTGTTTCATCATCAATACGCAAATGTAGAATAATGTAGAAGAAAGAGCACTAGACATGGTGAGGTTTTGGACCACAGCTGTGTACTAGTTTAGCTCACGTCTAGTCTGTGGCTTCAGGCATGTCATTTAATTTCTCTCAACTTTACTTTCCTCACCTGCAAGTTAATGGTAGTTTTAAGAATAAAATTATCAGGCATATCTATGGTTTTCAAACTGTACATTTAGTGATGGGATTTTCTTCAAAGAAAATCAACAGGTAAACCTGAGAACTGAATATCACAGTCAGTTTAAACATTCCTTATTTGGAACCAAGTCTTTTACTGTTGGTGGTAGTGAGCATGATGGTGGTGGTGGTAGTGGGGATGATGATGGTGGTGGTGGTATATGATTTCAAAGTCTCCAAAAATGTTTCCTTGTCTTCTCTTTCTTCCAGATCCCTCTCACTGGCTGTGATCTGAAAGCCACAATTAAAGATTTTGTATGTGTGTTTTGGCACACTTCTCAGATTAAAGGGATGAAGAGACTCATCCATACTCAACAAGTCCACCATAATGACAACACAGTCACTTTTACAGTTCTATGATGTCTCAAAGTGTCTGTACATCACCCATGATTATCCCGTTAGTTATGTGGCAATTCTTTGACTCCATGTCAAAGAATGACTCCATCATCCCCACTACCACCACCACCATCATCCCCACTACGACCACCACCATCACTATTAGAGCAGAACAATTTACCATCCTGACCTGGAAGCCTGTTGTGTCCTCTCAAAAGAACACATCATCATTCCGTGGCTTGACATAATGCTGGGCTTCTTTACTCATATGTGCTACAAATGGTACCCCAATTTACTCTGTCCCCAAGGGTATTCTCGGTTCACAACTCTGTCTGACAGTGAATAACAATAAGTACGATCAGTTGTTGCAAAAATAGATTTTACCGTTAGATCAAAACTTGGCAGCAAGCGCATCAAGAACTCCCGTGTGTCCAGCCCACTGCTTTAGAACTACTGCCTTAAGTATATTTCCACTTTGAAACTCACTCCCCTGATCCTTAGGAGCTGTTTACACTTTAATAAGAATGAGCCCATTAGAGTCCACCCAGAGAGCATTTAATAGGGGCGAAGTAGAGCCTCTTAGTTTGAATTCACTCAGGAGCAGACCCTGAGACAAGGATACAAATGCAAGTAATTTATTTGGAAGGTTACTGTTACACAAGTAAGGAAGTTAGGTGGGCAAGGGAAAGTAGCCAATAAAAGATGAATTGTCAAGAAAATTACCCATGTGGGTGACTGAAGCTAAATCCTACCAGGGGACTCCCAGAACCAGCATGGAACATGCACCCAAGAGTTCTCCCACACAAGAGGAAAAGGACTTGCAATATTTATACAGCAACTTCCTTAGTCACTGGTTAAGAATGTTCTCAGGGGCTGGGTGTGGTGGCTCACGCCTGTAATCGCAGCACTTTGGGGGGCCGAGGTGGGCAGATTACAAGGTCAGAAGATTGAGACCATCCTGGCGAACATGGTGAAACCCCGTCTCTACTAAAAATACAAAAATTAGCTTGGCATGGTGGCGTGTGCCTGTAATCCCAGCTACTCGGGAGGCCAAGGCAAGAGAATCGCTTGAACCAGGGAGTCAGAGGTTGCAGTGAGCCGAGATTATGCCACTGCACTCTGCCTGGTGACAGAGTGAGACTCCGTCTCCAAAAAAAAAAAAAAAAAAAAAGAATGTTCCCAGGAATATCAGTCCTGAATTTTCTGGCCTTCCATGTGCATGAGCATAATGCACCCCATAGCATCAATTACAGGGAGAATGGGAGGAAGGAAGAGCTTGAGAATGCAGCAATTGAGTTTAGGGAAGGAAAGGATGTCAAGGGTGTTCAAAGTTTCTTAATTCTCATTTTGTTCAGTGCTAGTCCCATTCTAAGGCGTGGCTGCTTGGCATAGCAGTTTTTAGTAAAAACCTTAAAGAGGTAGAAGAAGAAATATCACCTCTTGGTGACATATCTAGCACCAACAGGACATTTTCACAACTTCAGGCAAGCATTTCTGGCTTGGATGGGGCAGAGCCAGGGGAGCAAATGTCTTGGTAGAGTGGGCTATTGCTTGGCTCCTAATGGGCCCAGCCAAAGAAGCAAAGGCCTCCCTGCTTGGCCCCCTCATGGGTTGGTAGGCTATGCTGGGTTGAATTTTATATCATCTTAACAAACCAACTGAAGTTATAATAAAAAAATTGGAGAGGTTTACTACTTTTATGAAAACTATAAGACATTAAGCACTAATGCTCTATGTATGGGGTTACCTAGTTCAAGATGTCACTTTTTTTTCTGGGCTGAGGAGAAATGGGGTCTTTGGAAAAAGGTAGATATGGCAGTCTCCTGGCACAGTAAGATCTTTTCACACAGGGGCTTTTGCTGAATGTTTTGCTTTTTTACTCTGAGAGCTTTTAGTGGTGGATAGCGTTGGAATTTTGGATGTCTATCTATCTTTCTCCTCTCTGAGCTCTAGCCAATTGAGGTATATATTTAAGGAGTTCAAAGTATCAACTTATGAATAACAAAAGCTTGGAGACCATCTGAATGTTTGGTAATATGGGAAAGATTAAATATTAATACATTATGGTAAATCCATACACTGTAACTCTATGTAGCTATAAAAGAGAATGAAGATGCCCCCCTGAATATTCACATGAAAAAAGTGCCAATAAAATGGGAAGGAGTGAGAGGAGATAACATATTTGCAGTGTCTTTTATATGCATGAAATTTGGAAAGAATCACAAGAAAATACTAATAGGTAGGGCTTGGGAGTAGGAACAGGGTAGGTGGGAGCGTGGGTGGCAGAGAGAATTTTTACTGAATACCGTTTTTTGAGAAGCACGTAAATATATTCCCTGTATCTACCTAGACATGTAGAGAAAGACTCAAAGAGGGGAAGACATAGGGGCAACTGATTAAAATTCTTGCTTTGTTCCTCAGATCATGAGTCATCAGAGTGTATCTGACCATGACTTTGGGAAAGGGAAAAAAGGTGGGGGAAGAAAAGATGGGAAAGTACAAATGGGAGAACAGGGGTTGTGTACTCGGAAGGTAAAGATCACCATCTCCATCTGTTAAACACAGCACTGCTGTGCTGTCTACATTTCACTCAGCAGGTGTGCTTTACACCAAGTAGGTGCTTGGAAGTATGCCTGCTAAGGGCTGAGCCAGCCAGAGTGTTGTATGATCTGTTGGACCAGCTGTTCATTGCCACTCACTTGAGAGGTGGTTTAAGGTGATGGATAAGAGCATGGTCTCCTCCATCAGAATAAACCAATGTTCAAGTCCTGGCTCTGCCACTTACTAAACACGTGGGACTAGGTCCCTATTTCATCCTCTCTGAGCCTCTGTCTTCCCTTGTAAAACAGGAATACTGGTATTACCCACCTCACTATTATGAAGTATAACATACAGCGTGCACAGCACAGTGTCTGGCCCATTGTAGTTGCTCAATAGCTTTTAGTGTTTGCTTTTATGAGTTTGAGTCATCTTTGTGGTGAGGATTACAGACCCTGACCCCTCTACTTGAGGTAGAACCAAGTCTATGGTTTCTCAGCCTGGGCAGGGCAACCTGCCCTTTTCTGACTTTTCTGTGTGATGCAGCAGCTGCATTTCCATTCCAGCTTCCAAGGGCTGAGTGTGGGGGTCTCCAGAGGAGCCGCTTTACTGACAGATGTATCCTCTAGGATTCCAGAGGCAATGCCAGATGTCAGTGTGCAGCTGTGTTCACAGAACATCCTATCAATGTTTATTCCCTGTGTAGTTGCAAAGCAAATGGCTTAATGCCATTGTAAAAACAACTCTAAAAGTTAATAGTTCTTCTAATAGGAACCCCCTCACCGCCACCTTCAGCAGCACCAAATTGTTAGTTCTCAGTCTTCTGTCTCACAGAAAGAAAACCAGATTACACCTTGGTCAAGAAATGTACCTAAAGTTTCCCTCTTGATGATTTAATCTTGGTTGGGGTGAGAAAAAAGCAGGTATCAGCTGTGCTATTGGGGATTTCCTAACCCTTTATATTATTACATGTTTCATCCTGCCTTGAGGAAGAAGTTTAAGCTACGCCAATATTCGGGGCTCAAAGAGTTATGTATGTTTCAAGTTTTCAAAATGTTTGATATATCAAAGATGGTTTTTGTCCTGGTCCCTGCGTTCTGACTGGAGACACTTTGCTTTGTTGGGTAGCCAAATGCTGCCTCCTTTTGAAGCAGCAGGTGAGCCAATGACAAATGTAATGGGGAGTGGGGCAGAGATGCTCTAAGAATGGAGGGACCTGGGACTGGACATCTGGCTTGTGAGTCCAAGTTCATTCCCGATGTCTTTTCCTGTATGAAAAAGCCAAGCACCTCAAATTAAGGTTCCAGAAGCAGCCAACCTGTAGTTTTAACAGCATGATTGACCTTGTCTGCATTGCCAGTTCAATCTACCTTGAGGAAGAATACTAAATAGAGTTTGCCCATGGTCAACTCAGGAACTAGAGGTGGGAGGTTAGAAGGCACTGCAATTACTGCCATTGCTGATTTCTCCTCAGTCCACTACACTCTAGGCAGCATGCACTGGGCAGTTTGGTGTAGTGGTTCAGATTATGGGCTCTGAAGCCACACTGCCTGAATTCAAGTCCCAGCAGTGCTCTTATTAACAGCTGTGTGGTTTTGACCTAGTTATTTAAATTCCATGTGCTTCAATTTCTCTGATGTAAAATGGTGGTTACAATATCTCTACTTCACAGTATTGTGAGGGTTAAATAATTAACATGGGTAAGATACCTGTTTGATAGTGAGCAGTGTAGAAACTTAGTCTCAAATACCCTGTAATGAGTCTTTTCGTTTATTTGTTTAGTACCTGGTACTAAAGAGGACCTAATTCAAATGAATCGTGTAGTTGACAAGCAGGAACTGAAATAAGTTCCCTGTAAATTATTTACGTAACTTGGATGGGAGGACAGCTGGTCCCTTGGGCTTGGGCTCCTGTACCCACATGAGCAATCTCTGTTTTTGCCTTGCAACAGTCCACAGCTAGGGTTAAGTTATCTGGAAAGAATCTCCCCACACATCAGTAAAGTGGACTTGGCTCACAATAAGCTGGTGAGGTCTGAGGAGGGGGTGAGGGGACGTATATTGCACATACTTCAACACACACATACATGCACCTGCACATCCCTGCAAACCACTTTCACAACTTTCAGGATTTCTTCTCTCCAAAGTCCCACTTGGCTATGTTTTAAGGGTTCCCCTTGATGCCCTTTGCTCCATAGCAGCCTCCAGTGTTGTTTTTGCTCTGCCTCTGGGGAACTTCAAATTCCTTACTCTTTTTAGTAAGCGGAGCTGTTTAGCTCTGTCCCTGCTCTGACCCTCAATATTACTCCATCATACACATCGCAGCCCAACGTCTTCAACTAGATTCATTGATGTATGAAGACGGCGCTTTCCTTAAGGGGTCTCAAAGCACTTTGCAGACATCCAAATGTCCATTCCCCATTTAAGTGCCTGCTCTGTTGTTCACTATCTATGTGACCTTGGGTGAGTTATTTCACCTCTCTGAGTCTCAGGTCACTCAACTGAAAAATGAAGATAATGCAAGGACTGTGGAGGTTGCTAGGAAGAAGTGAAATCATGATTGCAAAACATAGAACAGCGCCTGGTGTCTAATAGCATCACAATGTATGCTTTTTGTATAACTATATAGCAGAATCCTTCATCTAAGTTGGATTTCTCACAGTAGAAAATGGGCATTGACAACTTTTTATGATGTGTGTATAAGGACTATAGGGCACAAAGGAGTGAACAGGGCTATCTAGACGGCACTAGGAACTTTTGCAAGTTACTTAATCACTACACATTAGTCTCCTCCATTGTAAAATGGGGATAGTAATCATACTTATTTATGACTGTCGGGGAGATGAAATGAGATACTGCATGCAAAAACAGAGTCTAGTCCAATGTAAGAATTTAGAAAAGCATAGCTATTATTATTAAAAGCATATGTTTTTAATTGAACTATTAGGATAAGAAAGCATATTTGCCTCCTTTCCTGATGTATTTTGTATTTTGATTTGATGTATAGATGTATTTTGGAAATCCTGATGTTATTTTGCTGAAGGCTTTAGTCAAGACAGAAGTTATTTAAGCTGATAGCTTTGGCTTTAGAAGTATTAAATCACTACACAGTCCATAAACTTACTAATAATTGTCTCTTGATATTTCATTTGAAAATCTGAACTTCTTTTTGGGCTGTTAGCTTTGTAGTAATTTCCTTTCATCAGTGACACATTAGAATTAATCTGAAGTATAAGAGAATAGTTCAGTACTCTTGACCAGTGTTCCCTTTGATTTTGTATAAACTGTGAGCAATTGGCCATATTCCACAAGCAACTAGTTATGAAGGTGGAATATGCATGAGCAGACTTTAGTGTTGAGATCAAATAAAGCTTGCAGCAAATTTAATGTGATGTTGTAAAGGATATGCAAAAACCAATATTGTGCTGTGTGATAATTAGACATAAACGCAGTTCACACAGATGAGTGTAGGTGCCTTCCCTGAAACAAGCCCTTCTAGGATTAGCTACCTAAGAAGTGGGTGGGCCTGTTAGGAGCAGAAAACAGCTTTGGAGCCCCTCAGAATTCTTCTGAACTAAGAGCCTCCAGATGTCTGTTCATGGAGATGGAGCCTGGGTGACCAGGAGGCTTATCGGGACCAGGACATGACAAAATCAACCTCCTCCTGATTGTTATAGGGGATTGACTGAGGGGAAGTGTATTAGTCTAGGACAGGAATCAGCAAACTTTTTTATGAAGGGCGAGATAGAAAATAATTTAGGCACCGAGGGCCATATGGTCTGTGTTGCAGTTACTCAACACTGCCATTGTAGGGCAAAAGCAGCAATAAAGGATACAAACGGGTCTGGCTGTGTTCCAATAAAACTTTATAGAAACAGGTGATCTGCTGGACATGGCTGTGGTTTGCCAGCTCCTTCTTTAACCATCTGATGGGTTCACCTTGCCCACTGCCTAGACAGAGCTGATTTATCAAGACAGGGGAATTGCAATGGAGAAAGAGTAATTCATGCAGAACCAGCTGTGCAGGAGACCAAGGTTTTATTATTACTCAAATCAGTCTCCCAGAGCATTTGGGGATGGGATTTTTTAAAGAGAATTTAGCAAGTAGGGGCTTGGGAAGTGGGAAGTGCTGATTGGTGAGGTTGGAAATGGAAGCATAGAGGGGGTTGAAATGAGGTTTTCTTGCTGTCTTCTGTTCCTGGGTCAGATCACAGAACTGGTTGAGCCAGATTACCGGTCTGGGTGGTGTCAGCTGATCCATCCAGTGCAGGGTCTGCAAAATATCTCAAGCACTGATCTTAGGTTTTACAATAGTGATGTTATCCCTAGGAGCAATTTGGGAAGGGTCAGACTCTTGCATCCAGAGGCTGCATGACCCCTAAAACATAATTTCTAATTTTGTAGCTAATTTGTTAGTCCTACAAAGGCAGACTGATCTCCAGGCAAGAAGGGGGTCTTTTTGGGAAAGGGTTACTATCAATTTTGTTTCAGAGTAAAACTATAAACTAAATTCCTTCCTAAGGTTAGCTCAGCTTATGCCTAGGAATGAACAAGGACAGCTTAAATGTTAGGAGCAAGATGGAGTCAATTAGGTCTGATCTTTTTCACTGTCATAATTTCCTCAGTTATAATCTGTACAGAGGTGGCTTCACTCCTAGTCTAGACTAAGGCTCTGAATGGGAAACTGGAGGAGAACCCAAACCAACACTTTCCAGAAAAGGCTAGCATCTGGGTTGATGAATGAAATAAGGCCATGGGAAGTCGGAGCACAGGGAAGCTTCAAACGTTCTTCTCTCTTCTCCGCCTTTACAGGGCTTGTCTGCCTTAGTGAGGGCAACCAGCTGGAGAGGTAGTAAGGAATGGATAAGCGTCTTAACACTGACTGGGGTCAGGCTTAAACCCCAGCTCTCTCTCAATTTAGCTGTGTGATCTTGGGCAAGTTATTCTGCCTCTCTGAGCCTATCCATACAATGGGGTTCATAGAACCTGTCTAGTAGAATTGTGAGGATCAAATGAACTTTGCTATGTAAACTGTTTAGCATGCACCAAATGGTAGAGATAGTGTGTCTGTATACTGTATTTTATGGACAATTTAAGGAAGGTTCAAGGTCTTTTGGAGATTTGTCGCTTTTCCTACAGACTTTAAATTGCAACTCCCCATAAGTTGAGTTTGTGTTCGGAGTTATTTGACTAGTTCCATAATATGCCTAGGAGTAGAATTGTTGGTTCAGCTTTAGGTTGTCCATGTTCAGCAAGTACTAAACAGCTTAGTAGACACTAGGTAGTTTTTCAAAATGGCTATACCTATTTGCATTTTCATGAGCAGTGTGATGTGAGTTCCAGTTGTTCATCATTCTGGTTCCTGGTGGTTTTAATTGGCATCTTCCCAGTGGGTTAATAAGTGTGTGCACTTTTTCATATGCTTATTAGCCACCTGAATATCCTGACACTTCTGTGAAATACGTGTTCAAGTGTCAAGTTTTCTTATTGGTTTGTGAAAGTTATTTACATAGTCTAGATATGAGAATTTAGCTGCTATGGACATTTTCTGATAAACAGAAGTCTCTAATTTTAATATACAGTCATATACCACATAATAACATTTTTGGTCAATGACTGCATATATGATGGTTGTCCTGTAAGATTATAATGCTATATTTTTACTGTTCCTTTTCTATGTTTACATACACAAATATTTACCATTGTGTTACAATTGCCTACAGTAGTCAGTAGAGTAATACGCTGTACACGTTTGTAGCCTAGGAGCAATATATACCATATAGCCCAGGTGTGGCAAAGGCTGTACCATCTAGGTTTGTATCAGGTACATTCTGTGATGTTTGCACAATGATGAAATCACCTAACAACACATTTCTCAGGATGTGTCTCCATTGTTAAGTGCCTGACTAGGGTTCTATTTACCTATCTTTGCTTTACTTTTTTAAGTCAATAATTTAAATGAATTATTTGGTACTATTTACACCATATTGCTTGTAACACTTCCCACTAATATCTACTAGTTGCGAACCATTGGATTCATTGGCTAATTTCCTTCCAACCCTGAAACTTGGTGAATCTGCGAAGTCCTGCCAGTTGGTGTTCGTTTGGGCTCATTTTCAACATGCCTGAGAGGGATGGATATGTGGAGCTACTGTTAGCTATGAATCACGATGGACATTTTGATGTAATTCAGTTTAATCTATTTGCTTGTCTAGCATCTAACTAAAAGTGCAAGTGGTTGGTGCAGAAAAGAAAAGGAGGAAATTTTGGAGTGCACAAATTTGTGCTAGGATAGGATTTCAGGGGAAAGGTTAGGTAGTGTAGGGAGACGGAGATTTGAGCAGCCATGGAGTATAGCCAAGGAAGGATCCTGGATATCTGGAAAAGTGAAGAGAAATTGAGAGAAAGTTGGATCACAGGACAGGTGAGAGAGAAGGGAAATGGGAGGGAAAGGCCAAAAAGAAGGTTTCAATTATGTGGCAAATGTCAGAGGCTTAAACATAACAAAGGAAGCTGTTCATGAGAGCTTGGCCTGATGAGAACTGATTTCCTTGACTTTTCTCGATTTTTTACTAGAAAGGTCCTAATACTAAATCACATATCAAGGCTTTCTTTAATAATAGAATCCATTAATACTCATCACTTTTTTCTCTCCTGATTGGGAATAAAATGGATTATTAACTGTTGAGTAGGCACTGTATGAAATAAAGGGGATAAAGGAAATTTAGGAGCAGAAGCAAGCACTCTGAGCTCCTGCAGTTAATCGTGATTGGCTTAAAGCAATCAGCAAGTCTCATCCCTGGGACCACAGTGAAAGGCTGATTAGGACCAGTGAGGGCCTGGCCCAAGACTTTTATTTGCTGGTGGACAGGATGAAGCTGAGAAGATGTGGTTTGGAGTTGATGCAGTCATCTTATTACCACAGGGAAGAGCCTGAGAATAGAGCTAACACAAGGAAGAAAGCAGACAGAAGCCAAGAGATGGACGGATTGGGTTTTAGAAATGTCATCTGAGTCCCTTGATCTAGCGGCACCTGACTTTTAATCTACCTAAGTCAGGGATTGGCAAACTTTGCCCGTAAAGGGCCAGATAGTAAGGGCTTTAGGCTTTGTGGGTCATGTCGTCTCTATCACAGCTACTGGTCTCTACCATTGGAGTACAAAAGCCATGGGTGATACATAAACCAATGGGCTTAGCTGTGTTCCAGTAAAACTACTTACAAAGGCAGGCAGTTGTGGGGAGGGCTTGGCACAAGAGCAATACTTTGTAGATCCCTCATCTAAGACGACACTAAATTTCCTTTTTTTTTTTTTTTTGCTTAAGTGTATTTGGCTTGGGTTTCCTAACACTTGCAACTGAAAAAGGCCTTAAGTGTTATAGGTTCTTAGGTTGTGGACAATGGAAATCGATTCCAAATTCCTTGGGGGAAAACAAAGATTTATTATCAAAATAAAGCATAGACAAATTACAAATTCCCAGGAGAGAAATTTCAATTGTTGTGACTGAAGTCGCATGTCCAGGGGAGGGGGATTTACCAGCCCTCTCAAGGCTGCACGCAGGAGGAAAGAGGTTGTTTCTGTAGGGAAAATTAGGGGACTCTATTAAGACAAACAGGTACTGGAGGCTGGATCTACTCCATTAAGACAGGAAAAAGTTCCCATATCAAGTGTATTCAGCAGGTGCCCTGCAAATGCAGTTCATCAAAGGCAGTCTTGTGTATTAGAAAAACATGTTGATTAACAAAGACTTGTGTCGTCGTACCTCTGCCCCTACTGGCTGTGTTGCCCTGGGCAAGATAAGAAATGTCTCTGGGTCTCAGTTCTTCAAGAACAAAAAGAAGGTGATGAACTGGGAATCTTTTTTTTTTTTTTTTTTTTTTGAGATGGAGTCTCACTCTGTCGTCCAGGCTGGAGTGCAGTGGTGCGATCTCGGCTCAGTGCAATCTCTGCCTCCCGGGTTCAAGCGATTCTCCTGCCTCAGCCTCCCGAGTAACTGGGATTACAGGTGCCTGCCGCCACACGCAGCTAATTTTTTTTTATGAACTGGGAATCTTTAAGGGCTCTTTGAGTGCCAAGCTTTGGTGGCTTTTTCCATGTATTCATCATCTTGCCTGTTAATCTCTGAGACGACGCTCTGTGCCCTGTGGCTTATCTTTTTGTATAATTACTAGCTAGCTGTGGGACCTCCCTCATGTTACATAATGTCTGTGAGTGTTAATTTCCTCATCTGCTGTAAGCCCTACCTGGTAAGGTGGTGTACGGATTAGAGCTATGCATGCTACTTGCTTAGAAAGGCAGAGTGTGAACTGGTATAGAGTAGGTGTTTCAGAGTTAGATGATCAGGACTCAATCTTTGTTTAGTCTTTTTCTTACTGTGCAACATTAAACAAATTATTTAAATTCTTGGAATCTTTGTTTCCTCATCTGTAAAATGAGGATATTTATAGAACCCTCTTGAGATTGTTGTGTGGATTAAATGAGATACTGCATATAATATGCTTAGTACATGGCTTGGCATGTGGTACTCTGTAAAGAGAAATTGTTATTACTTGTAATGATTTAATTGGTTTCTAGAAATAGGCTCCTGTTAGAAAGAAAGTTTCTCCTATTTTTTACAGTTCTTATTATGGAATTTTAAAAAATAATTCTTTGAGTTTTGATGTTGTTGTTTGCTTTTAGTTATTTCTGTAAAGTTAAAAAAGTAACAGAGGCCTATTTTAAAAATATTTTATTTTCTAACCATTATAGTAGGATGCATTCAGTTATAACAACAGGCTTAAGAAAGAAAAGGTATTTATTGGCCCATGTAATTTGCTGCGCTTAATACAGCACTCAATAATGTCCTCAGATTGTTTTCTTCCTCTCTGCACTCTGCCTTCTGTAGGGATCATTTCCTGGTAATATAGTCTCAACTCATGATCACAAGATGGTTGCCAGTAGACCCAGGGCCTGCCTGCTTCCTCCTCCAGATCCTGTAGAAAGAGTAAAGGGGCTCTCTCAGTAGCTTTTTCAGAAAAGCAAGAAAGTTTCTTTTCCATGAGCTTCTAGCATATGTCCTCTCAAGGCTCATTTGCCCAGGTTAGGTCATGAATCCACTGCAGAAAGAAATTGTGTCCCTAGAGGTTGGGCATCAACTAACATGTCTAAAAGGACCTGGACCCATCTCTGAAGCTGGCTGGCAGTGCCCATACAGCATGCCTGAGAATACAGAAGCAGCATGCCCTGAAAGAAACAAAGATTGGCAAAGGTTAGGCATCAGCGTGGGTTCACCGCCTCTGCTTTAATCCTCCGTGTTGTCGCTAAGTCCCTGTATTAATTTGCTGGGGCTGCCACAACAAAGGACCACAAGCTGGGTGGTTTAAACAACAGACATTTATTTTCTCACACTGTGGAGTCTAGATGAAGTGCAAGATCAAGGTGCAGCAGGGTTGGTTTCTTCTGAGGCCTCTTCCTTGGCTAGTAGATGGCCATCTTCTCCCTGTGTCTTCACGGGGCCTTCCCTCTGCAGGTGTCTGTGTCCTAATCTCTTCTCATAAGGACACCGGTCATATGGGGTTAAAGCCCACTTATTTAATGTCGTTTTATCTTAATTACTTTTTCAAAGCCTCTGTCTCCAAATATGGTCATCTCTGAGGTTCCTGGGACTTAGGACTTCAACATATGAGCTTGTGAGGGATGTAATCAACCCATAACAGTCTCCCCAGCCCTCAGGTCTACTCCTCAGAATCACTATTTTGAACAGTTTGTACATATCTATAATTCTTAATTGTTTCAAAAATGTTCTTTGAAATGAACCTACATTGACTGCTTCAGAGATTAAGGCAGCTCTTTTATCAATGAAATTATCTCAGCAGTCAGAAAATCTTCTGTGTGCCTGACAGTTTTTCCCTAGAAAGGGCTTAAAGTAGATGTTACCAGTAATTCAGGGTATCTACTTTTTTAAAGTATCTCAGTAAAATATCTCCAACAATATGTACACCATAAATTCTTGGTGAGCCTCCCAAAATGAATTTTATAATATATACAACACCAGAAAACAGAATGATTTATGGTTTAGAGTGAACTGTTGTAGATATTGTTTTTATCTGCCTACCGTACTTTGGTCATACCATTTCTTTTGGTTTCTTTGGGGAATTCTTTCTCTAGTCCATGTTATTTTTGAATATTTGACAGTCAAATCATTGTGCACCACCACCCACCTCTGGCCTCATCACAGGGTTGAGTATGTGATCCAGACTAAACAAACTATAGTACTGCATCTTTGGGACACCAAAGATAAGTTAAAGGGCTAGGCACATAACCTGAGGCAGCCCTTGCCCAGGTGTTATGAATTGCTGGGGAAGAGTAGGCCCCCTGTTGTGGATTGGATTGTTACCCACAAAAGATACGGTGAAGACCTAACCCCTCATACCTATGAATGTGACCTTATTTGGGTCTTAATCCAATATGACTGGAGTCCTTATAAAAAGAGAAGAGGCACAGGGACCGAGGAGGAAAATGTCGTGGGAGGTTGGAAGCAGAAACTCAAGTGATCATTAAGGCAAGTGGCATCTACAAGCCAAGGAATGCAAGGATCGCTGGCGACGACACCAGAAGCTAAGAGAAAGGCATGAACTAGATTCTTCTCTAGAGCATATCCCTGTGCACACCTTGATTTCAGTGTTCCAGCCCCCATAACTGACAGAGGAGAAATTTTGTTTTTTTTAAGCCACCCAGTCTGTGGTACTTTGTTGCAGAAGCCCCAGGACACTGATGCCCCTCCCATTCTCTTGGATAGAAGTTGTCAGAAGCTAAGGATTCTGGGTGGCTACCATCCACAGCCCACGGAGAAAGGATAAGGCCAAAACAAAGAGATAAAGAGTGGTGAGAGGTAGACTAGTAGGAAGTGGGTTCTCGTATCATTGAGTCCCTGTTCTACTATATTGGCCTGGTTCCCATAGCAATTCTTTATTGTGTTACCTGTTACCGACCTCAGAGCTTTCCAACCAGGGTGCCAAAGGTAGCAGGGTTGAGCATCAACTTGGGTTCATCGTCTCTGCTTTAGTCCTCTGTGTGTTGGTTCCTTCAGCCTGGTAGCCAGGCTGGGCTGAAGCAGGCATGCTGCCTCCAACTGCAACCAGAGTTGAGCCGATTTAAGATGACTCCTGTGGGCTCTTATACATATTATCATTTTCTGTGTGTGCCATGACATGAAAAACCTGTCTTCACAGCCTTCCAGTGGTATGAAACATACGTTTCTGTTTTTTGCTGACACTATTTTGATTTGACTTTCTATCACTTGGATTTAAAAGTGTCCTGGTTAATTTTGAATCATTAGCTATAAATCTGTTAAGCATTGGGAGAAGGCCTACTAAAAATTATTTGAAGGTTGTGAGCACCAGTAATCCCAGTTACTTGGAAAGCTGATGCAGAAAGATTGCTTCAGTTTAGGGAGTTTGACACTGCAGTGAGCTATGATTATGCCACTGCACTCCAGCCTGGGCAACATAGCAAGACTCTGTCTTTTAAAAAATTGAGCTAAAATTTAAAAGACTAATAATACCGTGTATTGGCAAGGATGTGGAACAACTGGAAGTCTCTTACATTGTTAGTAGGAATATAAAATGGTGCTACTTTGGAAAGCTATTTGGCAGTTATTATAATTAACCATTTATTTCACTCCTAGGTATATACCCAAGAGAAATGGGTGTATATGTTCACAAAAGACTTAACAAAGTTACTAGAAAAGTGATTCCTAATAGTCCCTAACTTGAAACAGCTCAAATGCCTCAGTAACAAGATAATGAATAAATTATGACATAATTAGATAATTAAATTCTATACAGTTAGTACAAAAGAATGGATCACTAGAACACACAAGAATATAGATGAATTACAAACACTGTGCTGTGTTCCAGAAGCCAGACCCAAAAAATATATACTGCATCATTCAATTTAGATAATGTTAAAGAACAGTACAAATCTGACAATATTTATAGATGTCAAAATAGTGGTTAATTCTAAGTGAAGGCAATAGACTGGAAATGTATGTAAGAAAACAGGAGGTGCTGGAAACGCTCTATATCTTGATGTGGGTAGTGGTAACATCTGGGTGTGTACATATGTAGAAAAACCACTAGGTTGGGCACTTGAAATTAGTGTACTTTACTGCAAATAAAAAAAAATTGTAAGAATAAATACACCTACTATGTACCCACAAAAATTAAAAACAATTTTTTAAATTCAAAAAATAGTCATTGCCAAAAAATTCTAAGAAAAAGTAGTGCTTTTTGCATTTGTAAAGCATGACATTTAACATTAAGAATTTTAACATATTCTTTTAAAATTAATCTGAAAACAAATACATATTTATATTTAGAATTTTAGACAATACTGAAAACTAAAAAGTAGAAAATAAGTCATCTATATTCCCACTATTTAGAGAAAATCATTGTGACTTTCAAGGTATATCTTTTCATTCTCTTAATAAGATCTTTTTATTTTCTTAATTTTAGTGAAAGTCTGACTGTAGGGTGCCAATTATTTTGTAATCTTTCTAAAAACCCATTTTGTACATTTTTATATTAGTATTTTTCAACAGCATTTTTCATGATGATGTTACCAGGGGTCCTTGCTCCCAGAGCTCCCAAGATGATGGTGGGCTGCTTCCAAAATGGCGGCAGGTCGCTTCCAACATGGTGGCAAGCCTCGTGTTCTCTGACCTGGGGTTCTTGGCCTCACGGATTCCAAAGAATGGAATCTTGGGCCATGCGGTGAGTTTTATAGCTCTATTAGAAGCCATGGGTCACGGAAGAGAACCGTGGAACCCAGTGACAAGTGTTCAGCTCGATTACGACCAACCCGGGCACTTAACCGTGCAGGAATGATGGCAAGCCTTTAGCCCGATTTGGAGCAGCAATGGGCGCCTCGCTGGATCAGGAGCACAGCAGACACCCTGCTGGATCTGGAGGGTTGGAAGTCAGCGGCAGGTCTGCCACGGTAGCAAACGGCAGTGGTGGACGGGGAGCGAAAGCTCAGCTCGAGCAGTAACAAACATGGACCAGAAGACAGTGCAGTTGCAAGATTTAATAGAGTGAAAACAGAGCTCCCATACAAAGGGAGGGGACCCAAAGAGGGTAGCCGTTGCTGGCTTGAATGCCTGGGTTTATATCCTGATCATTGTCCCTGGCGCTGTGCTCTCAGGCAATAGATGATTGGCTATTTCTTTACCTCCTGTTTTTGCCTAATTAGCATTTTAGTGAGCTGTCTCTACTATCTGATTGGTCGGGTGTGAGCTGAGTTGCAAGCCCCCTGTTTAAAGGTGGATGCCCTCACCTTCCCAGCTAGGCTTAGGGATTCTTAGTCGGCCTGGGAAATCCAGCTACTCCTGTCTCTCGATGATGTAATACACCAACATAGTCTTTTTCTATAAGTTAAACTAATTTTTATTGATGGCAATTACCGTTGTTTTTCATGTTCTGACATTCTAAACTCCTCCAGGACAAATATCCTTTCAGTAATCTTTACACATATCCGGGATTATTTTCTTAGGATAGATTCCTGTGAGTCAGTTGTTGGTCTGCAAAAATGCTGAGGTTTTGTTTGTTTGTTTTTTATTAAGCGGTAAACATTTTTATTATTTTTGGTGAGTATTTCAAATTATTTTTCAAAGAATTTGTATTAATTTACACTACCAGCAACAATGTGTGCCTTTATATTTTACTTTTTTATTATTTAAAATATCAGACATACAAAATTAGAATAGTGAACCTCTGCATACCCATCACCCAGCTTTAATAATTATCAGCATTTTTCTGATTTTATTTAATCTGTGTCCCTTCATCCTCCAATATACACCCTTTCCTCCCAGGTGTATTTAAAGTAAACTGCAAATGTTATAACTTTTTATCCCTAAACACTTTAGTGTGTCTCCCCAATAGATACACACACACACACACACACACACACACACACACAGGCAAACCATTATTGCTATCACTCACAATTAAATTAACAACCATCTATGATTCAATTCTAACTGGATCTTCTAATACCCAATACACATTCAATTTTCCCAGTTTTCTCCAAAAAAATCTTTTAGCACTTGGTTTATTGGAATCAAGATCCAAACCAAAATTACATTTGATTGATCTACCTCTTGAGTCTAATCTTTTAATCTCTAATAATTTTCCCTCTCCCCTCTTTTTACCCAATTCCATTGATTTGAAGACCCTGGGTCAGTCATTTGTTCTATAGCAGGTTTTCTATTCCTCATTTGACTGATGTACCCCTGTGGTATGCTGAACAGGCTCCTCCCTCCTCCCACCCCCACCCCCATCCCCACAAGGAGCTAGCTGGCAGAGGCTCCATTAGATTGTTTCAGTTAAAGTAGTTGAACTCTTGAAATGACTTTTTAAATGCCACCTGGAAAATATTTAAAGAATCTAAACCAGTCTTAAGAACCCAATTAAATATCATGGTAAGTGGTTGTTAACACCTCACCTAGTTAGGGGCAGAAATAAAACCCTTTTGTCTGCACTGGGTGAATTCCACTAGAAGCCAGCTGGAGATGAAACAGGAGGGTGGTTTGAAACCTTTAAATCACAAGTTAAAGTGGAGTGGAAAAATGACTTAATGAATTTTCTGACTCTGTGCCCCCAGTTGGGGCCATTGGACAAGCAGAATAATTCTTGTATACAGGTAGCTATTAATTTAACACAACCTGTGGAAGCAGTCTCTGTTTCATTTACACTGTGAGGAGGAAATACTTCTCCTTTACCTTCTTACATTCAGTAATTGAGGAACTGCAAATGAAACTGACTGTAAACCAAAAATAAAACTCTAAGATGCCCACCGAACTGAATGGACCTCTCCTCTCGGCCAAGGGGATTCCAGGGTAAACCTGAAAAACTAGTTCATGCCATGATGGGAATCGGGGTGTTGGACATGCCTTATTTTACCCTCCTCCCTTTGGAATTTCAGGCACAACCAATCAGCATTAACATTCAAACAGAGATCCTAAGACTGACAAAACAGACTCTTTGTAACAATAAGATTCCAAATTCCAACCTGAGTCTAGTATAGCATCACATGACAGCAGGCCCTGAAAGAAATTATTTTACCCAAAATATATTTCTTTGACATATTTTGGAATATCCCTGCAAAATTCTCTCTTGTAGGAGAAATTTACATTCTCCAGAGAATCCTCTTCCCTTTCCAGGTCTTTTTCTGATTCTCAAGAGATTAAGTGAGAATCTAGCACTTTTAAAGGTCTGAATAGAAATCACTGGTCATCTATTTCCTCTAAGCATAGTCACCTATGAGAATTCTTCTACATAATAAGAACCTTAGACTCCACAATCCCTTATCTTAACCCTGACACTCCTTTCTATTGACTCCAGGTCTTTAGATAATAACTCTTTCAACCAACTGCCAATCAGAAAATCTCTGAATCTACTTATGACCTGGAGGTACCCCTGTCGGCACCCCCTGTCCCAACTTCAAGTTTTCCTGCCTTTCTGGATTGAACCAATGTACACCTTACACTTACTGATTGATGTCTGCCTGTAGCATTTTCCAAAATCGAGCTGTAACCCAATCTCCCTGGGTACATGTTCTCAGGACCTCTTGGGGTTGTCACAGGTCATGGTCCTTACATTTGGCTCAGAATAAATCTCTTGAAATATGTTACAGAGTTTGCCTTTTCTGTCAACATGACAAAAGACAGATTAGCAATATTCATGTATGTACATGAAGCTCACAGAAAAATGTGACTTTAAAAAGCAGTTAGAATTTGGGGTCTTATACTATCACAATAGGGGAAAGAGGGAGAGAAGAACACTTATGGGGAAACAAATGACTTTTAGGAAAGATAAATGGACTCAGAAATATGAGTGGGAAATATCAGTTTTGAGGCTGATATGGTTTGGATTTGTGTCCCTGCCCAAATCTTATGTCCAATTGTAATCCCCAATGTTGGAGGTGGGGCCTGGTGAGAGGTGATTGATCATGGGGGCGCATTTACCCCTTTGGTGCTGTTCTTGTGATAGAGTTCCCACAAGATTTGGTTGTTTAAAAGTGAGTGGCAACTCAGCCCTCTCTCTCTTTTTCTCCTGCACCAGCCATGTGGAGTGCCTTGCTCCCTCTTTGTTTTCCACCATGATTGAAAGGTTCCTGAGGCCCCCTCAGAAGCTGAGCAGATGCCAACATCATGCTTCCTATACAGCCTGTGGAACCATGAGCCAATCAGATCTTTTTTCTTTAGAAATTACCCAGTCTCAGGTATTTCTTTAATACAGTGGCAGTATATGTTTTTCCCGATGCCAACTTCTCATCTCCAGTGATAGGAATCTATCTTCCTGGGTTGCAAAACTCCCACAGAGGGCATTAATGGCTATCAAATTTCTTTAGGAGGCTCTGCTTTTAGGCAGATGAGGGATGTTCAGAAAAAATACTCTTTATAGTGGTATATTCTGGTTCTCTTCATTCCCTCATCTGAAACTTCCCTAGAAATGTCACAGATAAGGAGCAGAATTATTTAATTGCCCCATATTCCATTTAACCAGTCTTCCAATCCTGGGAAAGGTTACACGTTTGTAAATCATTTCAGGAGGCAGTGGTGCAGGTGGGAGTTAGGCCTTTATGTGCTGGAAACCATCAGGTATTTAATAAAGGGCATTTCTATGGAGACAAAACAAAAACAAAGATTAATGGTTGAAGCAGACAATAAACTCATTTTTTTTCTTTTTTTCTTTTAGTCTAGAGTGCAGCCAGTCAAGAAGATTTCTAGAAATTGGGCCCAAAGTGTCTTTGGATGATGAAATGAGGATGACAGTGGCAATGTTATCGTCATGGTTATTTCCTTGAGCATGGCATGGAAGATGAGGTGTTCTAGTGAACTTTCTCACTGGACCAAACTGTTGTGATAAATCCTTTGAAGTTATATCAATCCATCCAGTTTCAACTTCCAGAGCTTCGGGAAAAGGGCAGTTTTAGCTCTCAAGTCAGGAAGGTGGGAGAAAAATTGGAAACATTAATTACTGAAAAAATGTGTAAAAGAGCAGGATCCTATTTACATTGAGATAAAAACAGCTCAAAGACAATGAATAGGACTGGAATCTGATAACCCACAGGGTGAGTCATAGTTTTCCACTGCATATAAAATTTCTTTCTACAATTATTCCCATTTTGCTCAAAGATAATCAAAGTAAGATTACCCTTGTTTATAAATAAGTCATCTCATTAAATATGGCCTGGTCATTTATTTGCATAAGTGCAGCAAAAATGGTAATTGACCATACAAACTTTTAAAAATGTGCTTTATTGGAACTTTTATAATGAACCTCATATTGGACCTTTAAAAGCCTTTGAGGCAAAAAGTCAAGCCAAGAGCTTGCTATCAGACTTCACTTGTAGTCCCTATAGATTTGGGTGAATTCCTATCTTCTTGAGGTCTTCAAAACATACAGTTTCCTGAGACTGCCACAAAAGTGACCTTCATTACTCATCTGTAAGGCTGGGAACCCTGTAGTCCAGGAACCAGGTCTATTTTTCCAAGACGGCTTTTTAAAGCATTGACTCCATAAAGTCAAACTTAGTTGTTAAAATATTGGTCATATCTGATTCAAGGCACATCAGTCTCAAATATGACAATTTAGTCAAAGCCTTCATAATATAACCTATGTTTCCAATTATTTCTTGTTTCAAGGGGAAGAGATTTTTATTAAACTTACGCAAATAGCTGTATTGCCATGAAAATAAGAATACTCAATAAGAGTTTCTGAATTCTGCAGGGCTTATAGAGAGAAAAAGATGAATGTTTCATTTTTG
This sequence comes from Homo sapiens, assembly GCF_000001405.40. Taxonomy (NCBI): domain Eukaryota; kingdom Metazoa; phylum Chordata; class Mammalia; order Primates; family Hominidae; genus Homo; species Homo sapiens. The sequence continues at coordinate 36,330,190 of NC_000011.10, forward strand.
TTTACAGACATATAATCTACTAAATTGCTGTAAGTATAGAGAGTTTAAGAGAAAAGAGAAAGGGGTTCCTTATATCCCCAGAAAATAGAACATTAGAGAACTAACAATATTCCAAACAAAAAGGCCACAAAAATTTTAACTCTTCTTCATCAATTCATTTAGTCCTATGCAATTCATTTTTGTTTTGCTTGATCTTAGCAGTTTAATGAACCCCTATCTCCTCTATTAGTTCTGGAAATCTTAACTCAGTCTAGTGGTATAATCATCAAGTTACTTAGGTAATGTAATTAGAAACCTGTACTTCTGAGTACTTGTCATATCCCTTTCCGTGGGTCTTGAGAGAGGCCCTTTTGTTAAACATGAAGCACTTTGCCCAGTTGCTGATTGTAAAATCATTCAAGGAGTCATTAGAGTAAAACAGTAATTATCTGTTGATGACAAAAGACTTAAAATGGCTGTGGTTAAAGGTATGATGAGAGTTCATTATAATGTAATTGATAAGAAAATTTCATTGTCTCTGTGACATATTAATACAACATTTAGAGACAATAGCTAGAATTATGACTGATAACATTTGCCAGGACATATTACGGACAGCAAGGACATTGACAGATTTTTGTTTGTTTGTTTTTTTGAGATGGAGTTTCACTCTTGTTGTGTAGGCCGGTGTTAGAGGTGTGATCTCGGCTCATTGCAACCTTCACCTCCTGGGTTCAAGTGATTCTCTTGCCTCAGCTTCCTGAGTAGCTGGGATTACAGACGTCCACCACCCTGCCTGGCTAATTTTTGTATTTTTAGTAGAGATGGGGTTACACCATGTTGGCCAGGCTAGTCTTGAACTCCCGACCTCAATTGATCCTCCTGCCTTGGCCTCCTAAAGTGCTGGGATTACAGGCATGAGCCACCACACCTGGTCCACATTGACAGATTTCTAAGAACATTATACATTTCTGAAATATTTATATTAATAACATATACCCATACTAATATAACATAGAGACAGTTAAGAATCCCTTTTTATTTGACATGCTTCATAGGCAATTTAGAATGTCAAATAACCTAATTTGTTTAACATCTCTCTTTTTACAAGGCAAGAGAATAAATTCTTTCAGATTTTTCAGGCGCTGTCTTGATCTCAAAATCAGTTTGAAGTTAAGAAGAATTCATTTAGAATTGCATTTGGAAAGTTGTCAAAAATGTCAAAAAGTTTGAACACTTGATGAAATAGAATCATAGGTCATTTAGAAAAAAAGATTTGGTTCTCTTAAATAAACAAAAACATGATAAAGATAACATAAAGCATAGGAAATTATTCTGATAAGACAGAGAATCCTTGTTTCCTCAGTAGATTATTCAAAAAGTAAAAGAAAAACAAACTTTCATAACTTCCTACTAAGAGCAGAACAATAATCCAAGAAACTTTATCCTTTTAAGAGAGAATGGCAAACTCTAGTTTAGCATTGAAATGCTATTGATATTAAAACTCATTTTCAAACCTTATAATAAATCCATTCAATGTTAGCCAGATTGACCATGAATTAAACTGTGAGCTAAGCTGAAAAAAGAGATTAGCAAGAGAAAAGACAGATTTTTATTCATGTATATCCACGAGTTCATAGAAAAATGTGATTCAAAGAGGTGGTTATAATTTGGAGCTTGTATTAGTCAGGGTTCTCCAGAAAAACAGAATGTGTCTATGTAGGTATATATATTTGGAAATGAAGTTCCAAACCATAAGTGTCACTCCTTACAAGCTGTTTGACGTTGGATAGGTTACTTAACCTTTCCGGGTCTTAGTTTCTTTACCTGTAAAATGCAGAAAACCACAGGATTGTTGTGAGGATGAAATAAAAAATCATTCACCTAAAGCTCTTAGTCTAGTTCTTGGCTTTAGACGGGTTCATTCTTATTTAAGTCCTTTAATTTTTATCCCCCCTGGATTTGAAGTTAAAAGGAGGTACACACAGAAATCAATAACAATAATAATTTAATTAGTATTAACAAAAATGTAATAGCATTACAAAAAAAACCCATGAATGCCAACACCATCATTTGTACATCCTCTTTCCTTCTGCCTAAAATGCCCTCTTCCACAACAAAACAAAGATACAAACAACCAAACCAGCAAAACTGTAGGTTTGCCATAGCTGAAGCTGCAGCTGTTGCCAGTTCTCCTCCGTGTGACTTTGGCATCTTGGGGACAAAGAGAGCGGTAGTTGGGAGTATTCTCTGGCATTAAATAAGCCTTGTTCTGAGACCCTGTTAATCTACTATATAACCTGAGTGATTTTCTTAACCCTCCTTACCTAATTTATCATGGAATCCTACATCCATTATCTCCTAAATGTCTCACCAATCCATCTGCTATGGTTTGGACATTTGTCCCCTCCAAATCTCATGTTGAAATGTGATCCCCAGTGGTGGAGGTGGGGCCTGGTGGGAGGTGTTTTGGTCATGGGAGTGGACCCCTCATGACTGGCTTTGTGACCTTCCCTTGGTGATGAGTGAGTTCTCACTCTATTAGTTCATGTGAGAGCTCGTTGTTTAAAGAGCCTGGCACCTCCTCCTCCTGCTGTTGCTCCCTCTCTCGCCATGTGATATGCCTGCTCCCCTTTGCCTCTCACAATGAGTGGAAGCTTGCTGAGGCCTCATCAGGAGCAGGTGCTGGCACTATACTTCTTGTACAGCTTGCAGAACCATGAACCAAATAAACCTCTTTTCTTTATAAATTACCCAGTCTTGGGTGTTCCTTTATAGCAATGTAAAATGGACTAATAAACCATTCATTTTTCTCCATGTCCACTGGCTTTCCCTACTCCAATCTACCATCATCTGTTGTCTGAACTACAGGAGTCTCCTAACTGGTCTTCCTCTTTCTTCCTTGTTTTCTATATTCAATAGAATTTAGCTTTGGCTAAGAGTGATAGCAAATCCAAAATAATGTGGCTTAAGGACAACTTAAAATTTTATTTTTTACTCATATAAAAATCCAGGTAGCCTATTGAGAACCCATTAGAATGTCTAAAATTCAAAAGACTGACAATACCAGGTATTGGGAAGATCTGGAGCAAATGGCACTCCTATTCGCTGCTCGTGGGGATGGAAAATGACACACTTACTTTGAAAAACTGGCTGTTTCCCATATTGCTAAACATACACCTACCATACGACCTGGCCATTCCACTCCCAGGTATTCTCCCAGAGAAATGAAGCATACATCTATATAAAGACTGTATGTAAATGTTCACATTTATGTACACAATAGCCCCAAACAGTAAACAACCCAAATGTCCATTGACTGCTGAGTGGATTAAATGAAGTGTGGCACAACCATACAACAGAATACAACTCACTCATAAAAAAGAATGAACTATTTATAGAACAGCATGGATTAATCTCAAAATAGTTATGCTGAATGGAAGCAGCTAGACACAGAAGAGTGTGTCACATATGAGTCAGTTTATAGAAAGCTATAGAAAATGAGAAATAGTCTGTGACAGAAAGTGGATCAGCGATTGCCTCATTCTGGGTGTGGGGTTGGGGATGAATTGCAAAAGGGCATGGAAATCTTCTGGGAATGGTAGAAATGTTCTGAACTTTGGTTGTGTTGGTAGTTGCACAGTTGTATACAACTGCCAGAACAAATCAAATTGTACACTTTAAATGGATGCAGGGGTTTATTGTATATAAAAAGTGTATGTAGATTATAGCTCAATAAATTAAAAAGTAAAAGGAGCTGTCCAAGGCTAGTAAAGCAGTCCACACTGTCAAGAACCCAGGATCCCCTTTTTGTGCTGCTCCTGCACAACAGGCTTCATCCTCATGGTCCAAGATGGGTAGCATCTGGTTTCCAGGCTGCACCATGGAGGAAGGGCCAAAGAAAACGAAGAGCACATGGGAGTCTCTTAGAAGCCCCTCCCACTTGGCAATTCTTCTCACATGCCATTGGCCATCTTCTAGTCACAGAGACACACCTACTGCAAAGGAGGCTGGGAAATGTAGTCTTTATCCTGGATGGTGGTCTTGGGTCCCGGGGAAATTTCATGACTGTGGGAGAAAGGAAAAATGGATACTGAGGGACAATTAGCAGGTATTTTTGACACTGCCACTTGTATCTGGTTTTCAAAATGTACATCTGATTGTATTTCCCTCTCTACTTAAAGTTCTTCTGTGGCTTTCCACTGGTCTCAGAATATAGTCCAAACAAGCTCCTGGCCATGGCCTCCAAGAACCTGTGCAATCTGGCCCTTGCCTGCCTTGTACCTTACTCTTGACTAGTTCTGAACTCCACCAAGTATTTGCTGGCTTCAGCTCCTCTGGTACACCATCAAGGTTATTATTTACTCTATTTCAATTTGCTTGTAACCCTTTCCCCTCCCTCTTTGCCTGGTTAACCACTCTTTATCCTTTGGCTTTTGGTTGGTTGATCTAAACTCTTCAGCATAGGTCAGGCCTCCTTTTTGTTTTACACTTACCTTTTCTATGTAGCACTCCTCACAGTTCGTAATTTTATATTTGTGTGGTAATTTGATTACATCTTCCTCATACACTAGACTGTAAGCTCCTTTTGTTCACCTTTGTATTCTGGAATCTAACTCAGTACTTAGCAAGGCAGAAGGAACTAAATAAACTTTTGTTGAGTGATCAAATGAATGAATCCATTATATATAATTCATATTGTTAATTGATCTGAGGTTGCTAAGGAATAATTTTGTACTTCCACTGAGCTCTGACTGCAAAACACTTCCACTGAGCTCTGACTGCAAAACACTCACTCACCCACTAATTATCTTTGTTAGGTATTGCTTTTGAAATGCTGAATAGTATTTCATCTTATCATTTGATCTGTACCACCACCAAAAATGTTTATTTAAGTCTCCATCTATGTTTTGAGTGGAGATTTTTTTTTTCTTTTAAGACAGAGTCTTACTCTGTGGCCCAGGCTGGAGTGCAGTGGTGCAATGATGGCTCATTGTGGCCTCGACCTCAGCCTTTCTCCCAAGTAGCTGAAACTACAGGTGCACGCCATTACGCCAGGCTAATTTTTGTATTTTTTGTAGAGACAGGGTTTCTCCACATTGCCAAGGCTGGTCTCGAGCTCTTGGGCTCAAGTGATCTGCCTGCCTCGACCTCCCAAAGTGCTGGAATTATAGGCATGAGCCACCATGCTTGGCTGAGTAGAAACCTTTCTATAAATATTGTCTGCTTGGGTGGCAGTGTGTGTGTGTGTGTGGTGTTTGGGGGGTAATGTGAAATGAGTAAAGTTTGTGGAAATGAAAGTTACTGTACAGTTCATTGATGCCTGTTTTCCTATAAGGGAAATTTGAATTATTTAGGGTAGAAACAGGACTGGTGTGCAGCAGGCTCCAGGGAAAGCAGCCACACCTTGTGATATGGTTATATTGTTCATTTAACTGGAGAAGTAGGGCTCTATTGATCTACTCAAGGAGAAAAATTATTCTTGAGTACGTGGTATTTATTTAGAATGCAAATACAACATGGTCTACTTAAGTGGGAGCTTTGACAGGATAATTATAGGATATTAATATAGATTCAAAAAACCATGTTCTCCATAGTGTGACTCACGGTTAGCCAACTATATAATAAGCAAAAGTGAAACGACTTTTCTTTATAAATATTTTCTTATTCAAAGTTTTCTTCATTTATTCATTTACAAAGCTTTGCCGCAGTGAATCCTATTAGTGGGTTTTCTTATATTTTGAAATGGAAATACTCTGATTTAATCTTGTGTAAGCCGCAGAACATAGTCAAAGGAGTAACTGCATGACTTGGGGTGAAAACGGGAGGAGGCAGGCAGAACATGAGAGGGAATGTGGCCATGAGGTTCGAGGAGAGAGCACCAGCCTGGACAACCCTTCTTCCCATGGGTACTTAGTGAGCTGCCTCAGACCCAGCACATCCAAATGTGGCTGATTTTGTATCACCCTCACCATTTTTGCCATATCTGCCAACCAACCAGGCATTGTTTACTTAAAAAATAGACTCTCTTTTTCAAACTTAAATGTATTTTAAAAAGAAAACTAATTGTTTTTTTTAATTTGAGATGAGGTCTCTGTTGCCCAGGCTAGAGTGCAGTGGCACGATCACAGCTCACTTGCAACCTCCTTCTCCTGGGCTCAAGCAATCCTCCCACCTCAGCCTCCCAAGTAGCTGGGACTGTAGGCATGCACCATCACACCCGGCTAATTTTTGCATTTTTAGTAGAGACTGAGTTTTGCCATGTTGCCCAGGCCAGTCTTGAGCTCCTGGGTTCAAGTGATCTGCCTGCCTCTGCCTCCCAAAGTGCTGGGATTACAGGCTTGAACCACCGCGCCTGGCCTTTTTTTTTTTTTTTTTTTTTTAAGGTATAATGCTAGCGCTGGTATGTCAGGGATTTTTCTGTGTTGCTCTCTGCTGTATTCCCCTAGTGCCTAATCTAGTACCTGGTAGGTGCTTAAGTAATGTTTGTTGAATAAATAAACGTCATTCTCATCAATAGAAAAGCATGTATTTTTCTAAGATGTGTTATAAACATATAGCTATTACAATTAAAAATGTCTGCTTCCCATTTAGAATCCTCTTGCATGCCACCTGTAATACACCTATGTACCATAGTTTTCTAAACTGCATAGCAATTGTCACTGAAGAAATTATCTCATATCATTATTTACTTATTGGCTTTGTCCCTCATAGATGGGTACCTCTGTTTCTTAAGAGTTTTGTCGACCTCTGTATCCTGAGCATCTAGCACTGTGTGGGGGCACATTACAGGTATACTACAAACATATATAAATAAATAAATATCTTTACAGTTATCCTGGCATGTAAATTATTATCTCCATTATCATATAGATGAAGAAGAAACCAAGACATAGAGGAGTTAGGCCATAAAGGTTGTTGCTAAAAAGCAACAACCTTTTCAACATTTTCAAAATGCATTGTATTTGCCACGGTCGCTGGGTCATGGGTCATTCCCCCATGGGTCATCCCCCCAAAATTAATAACCCCCAATGCAATAGTATTAAGAAGGAGGGCCTTTCAGAGGTGATTAGGCCATGAGGACTCCATCCTCCTGAATGGGATTAGTGCTCCTACAAAAGGGCTTAGAGAAGTCTACTTGCCCCTTCCGGCTTCTCCCCTCTTCTGCCACGTGAGGACTCAGCAAAAGGTGCCATCTATGAAGCAGTGAGCAAGACTTCACCATCTAGCCCTCTAACATCTTGATCTTCAACTTCCCAGCCTCCAGAACTGTGAGCAATAAATGTATGCTCTTTGTAAATTACTCAGCCTAGGGCATTCTGTTACAGCATTCCAAATGGACTAAGAAAATTTTCTTGTGTATTTATGACTTTTTAAAATCCCAATTCTTAGAATGGTTTTACCTCCAAACAGGTTTCAGCACATGCTCATTTATTCTTCTTGCCTAAATGGCTGCACTCAACTTCCTCTCTGAGCTCTTAGCCTCCTTGCGTCCTTCCTGCACAGTTGCTGCCATATTGTTCCGCATGGTATCCTCCACACCACATATTCATCTTACAACCTGCCTGCTCCTAAACTTCCAATGGTTGCCTGCTGCTCCAGGACGAAAGTGTGAAGTCTTTGGCTTGCTCATCAGTTATGAATAATTTCAGGCACAGGTTAAGATCCAAAATAATAATGGCTTATATCACAAAGAAGTTTCTTTAATGTGAAACAGTTCAGAGGTCAGATGTCCCAGGCTGATATATTCATCAGGGAGGTTGGTCCCTTTCTTTTCCTTTCATCATCTTTAACATTGTGCCTCATGATCTAAGATGGTGCCAAAGTTTCAGCCATTATGTTCACATTCCAGAATTTGTGCATAGGACTTTCCTTTAAGTCTTATTCTTTAGAACTTTGTCACGTGGCCATACCCAGCTACCAGTAAGGCTGATAAATACAGTCTATGCTAGGAAAATAAATTAGATGTCTTGTTAAAAAGGAAGAAGGGGAGACATCTAGTAGTCTCTACCATAGCCTGGCATTGAAGGCCTTTCTCAATCAAGTATCAACCCAGCTTTTCAGGTTTCCTTTACTTACTTGCAGTTCTTAATACTCTATCCCCATTGAGCTCCTTTGTTCACAGTCTCTAAAACACACCTTGTATTTGTCACTTTCTCTCCATTCATTCACCCCGCTTGAAATGCTTTCTTGCTTGACATCCAAGCTGTAATTTTGTTTCCATGATTCTTTCCCGTAATTGCTGGAATCTGAAATGACTTCTGACGTGGCACTCTTCTAGAAATGACCATGAGATCTCTTCAGATAATCACTCTCTTCTGCCTTGGATTTCTCTTCTTTGGATTAGTTGAAAAGCTAAAATCTTTCATTGTTAATTTTTTACACACTTAGATCTTACCCCTCACTTCAACCCCTCATTCTAGATTCCCTGACGGCAGGATCCCCTTATGTAGGGAATATTTATTGGCCTCATAGTTCACATGTGACATCATGCTCTGTGTTGGGAATTTTGTATGGAATAAGATGTTGGACCACTCCTCAAAATCCTCATATTGCCTATGAAATCTGGTTTTTTTGAGACAAAGTCTCACTCTGTTGCCCAGGCTGGAGTGCAGTGGCGTGATCTTGGCTCACTGCGACCTCCGTGGTATGGTTTGGCTGTGCCCCACCCAGACCTCTACTTGAATTGTATCTCCCAGAATTCCCACGTGCTGTGGGAGGGACCTAATGGGAGGTAACTGAGTCACGGGGGCCCGTCTTTCCCGTGCTATTCTCGTGATAGTGAATAAGTCTCATGAGATCTGATGGGTTTGTCAGGGGTTTCCACTTTTGCTTCCTCCTCATTCTCTCTTGCCACCACCATGTAAGAAGTACCTTCTGCCCTCTATCATGATTGTGAGACCTTCCTCAGCCATGTGGAACTGCAAGTCCAATTAAACCTCTTTCTTTTGTAAATTGCCCAGTCTCAGGTATGCCTTTATCAGCAGTGTAAAAATGGACTAATACACTCCACCTCCTGGGTTCAGGCAATTCTCCCACCTCAGCCTCCTGAGTAGTTGGGATTACAGGCGCCGGCCACCACACCCAGCTAATTTTTGTATTTTTAGTAGAGACATGGTTTTGCCATGTTGGCCAGGCTGGTCTGAAACTTCTGACCTCAGACGATCCACTCACCTTGGCCTCCCAAAGTGCTGGGATTACCGGAGTGAGCCACCATGCCTGGCCTTGGAATCTGGTTTTAAAACTTGTATATATTAAGTACTTTGTAAATCCCTGTTGGTTTATTGAGGAATAAAAGCTGACACTTATTTAAATTATTATAACATATTCACAATAATATTTATTAACTTCTATGTGCTAGGCACTATGCTAGTCTTTCATGTATATCATTTCATTTCTTTCTTTTGACATCTAGGAGGTACACACCATTAATTTTTACAGATAAAAATGAGGCACAGAGAGGTTAAGTTACTTGCCCAAACTCACACAGCTGGTAAGGGGTGGAGCCAGGATTTAATCCAGGCAGCTTGATTCCTGAGCCTAGGCTCTTAGTCACTATGGTAAGAAGGTGACTGGAAAACAATGGTGGTCTCATAATTTAAAGATTTACTGCCTTTATTTAAAATATCCATCCACAATGTGGACAATGCCAGCTACCCCACCCCATTAGGAAGCTTTCTTGGGCTGGGATGGCCTTGCCCCAGCCTGGGCACTGCCAACCTACCACTCCCCATCCGAGTCTCAGCTGCCAGCCCTCTGTCCCTCCCTCTTTCTGTGTTTTGCCTAAATGACTGCACCCAACTTCTTCTCTGAGCTCTCAACCTCTGGTCTCTCCCTCCTTGCGTCCTTACAGCACAGTTGCTGCCATCCAGTGCACAGCTGTGTTTCTGTGTACAGCTTTGATCTCATCCATTCTGCAGTGACAGGAAGGAGTAACTGAGCAAAGGCTGCAGTCTGGAGCCCCCCTGCTGGACTGGGCTCACCAATCTGTGTGGTTTTGTTCTGTCCAGCCCAGTATTTAATAATGTTTCTAAATTTGTTGTCAGCATTTGCAAATTAGATGTCACACAAAGTCTGGATTTTTAGTTTCTCTTGAAAAACTGGCCTATTTTGGAAACACTGGGTCTGTATGCCCATGGGCTCAGGCTGCCAAGTGCAGATGGGGTATGTGCTGTCTAAGATGGCACAGTCCCTCCTCCCTATGACTTGGGCCCTTATAGCCATATTCATTTTCCTTTCTAGCTTGTCACAAATAATAACTGATAATAATGATACAGAGTGCGCATGCATATAACACTATGTGTCAGACACTGTTCGAAGTGCTTTACTTTTTATCACTGCAGCCAATTTGGGAAGAGGTACTGTTACACTGGCACCACTTTGCAGATGAGGGAACTGGGGCCACACTAGTAGTGAAATGTCTGGGACTCACACCCTGGCATTCTGGCTTCAGAGTCTTTGCTTTGAAGCTCTGCACTGTTACCTCTCAATACAGAGAATGGAATTTGTGTCTCTGCTCTAAAAGGAGAGAGAAGCAGGGAGGAAACTGCCCCTGCCCCCTGTGCTGCCTGAAGCTGACACATCAAAACTACAAAAACCCCAGAGCTGATTTCCTATACAAATAACATGCAAGCAGGGAAAGACTGTTTTTCTTTATTGCTCTAAACAAAGTTGAACTTGCACTAGAGATGGGGGCAATCAAAGGATCCCAGCTGAACACCTAGCAGTGACTCTGGGGCCATCTCAGAGCCAGCTGTGGTAGAGAGAGCTTTCTTCTATCTCTCATGGAACAGAGGGAATTAATTAATTCTATTAAGCCTCCGTCCAACTCTCATTTGAAACATAAGCCCATAAACAAATGTAATCCATCTCCATCCCAGATTCTCTCCGGGAAAGGCAGGCAGATGGAGAGGCAGATATGAAACATGGTGCTGGACTAAGTAAGCATACTGGCCTTTATGCCAATATCCACGGTGGTCGCCCATCCTTCCTGAGCCTCCCTGTGCTGCAGAGTCCACAACATGATAAATGGAGCCTGTCACACAGAGAGAGATTAATTTGGGGGCAGGGTTACTTGCCTGGCAGCCATGGGAAAGTGAGCCCTCTATACGCTTGGCTCAAGTCAGAATTTCATTTGAAAGCTTCTATAATTCAGAGGCAAAGGGAATATGGCTGGTTCAAGGGGGTGACGGCTGTCCAAAGACCAACCTGAGAGCTGAAGATATTCACTGGGTACTTCGATATGCCAGGTGCTGTGGATGTAACAATGGACAAGCCTCTAGCATACATAGTTAAGATGATCATAGGATTCCAGACCAGAGTGCTTTGAGAGTGAAGAACACAGGCTTCAATTGGAACTATCTGGAGCTCAATGGGACATGCCGTCACAGTAAGCAGAGCCATTAAGACCACCCACAGCTCTGGAGCTCCCAATTCTGAATCTGGCCAAGTGACCATGAGCTTGTTTCTTGCTGCACAAAATGGGAACAATAACAGTACAGAGCTCTTGCCTCTCATAAATGTTGTAAGGGTTATATCAGATAATAATAGTGGCCAGAATTTGCTAAGAACCCCCTCCTCACAAGACAAGAGCTTGAGGTCAAGTCGTTGGGCTCTGTGGTGTTTACCTGGTTTTCCAGAAGCTGAGATGTCAGGTGGGCTTTGCAAGGTGAGAGCCAGTGCTTAATGGCTCTGGAATATCCAAGGGAATTAAAGAGGCAAAGGTGGGGAAGAGAACAGGAGAAACGAAGAGACAACTGGAAGCGGAAAGAAATGTTGGGTGGACATTGGACAGCTAATGGAAATGTTTCAAAGTACCTACTGTTTGGTCCACGCTGTGATTCCATCTACAAGCCCGTCTCTGCATAACGTCTTCAGCAAAGTAGCCATTGTTTCTGAACGTCTTGATGGAGGCAGATCTTTTTGGGAGGATACAGCAGACTCAAGGTGGGTCGGCAGAGGGAGCTGAGGCACTCCCCATGTCCTACTCCGCACTCCATGAAGGCTCAACTAAGGGTGAATTGGTGAACACCAAGTGCTTAGCCTAGTACCAGTCTGTAGAGAAGTTTCTATAAACCGTATTATTATCACCATTATCTTTATTATGTAGGCTGGCTTTGGTCTATCAACACTAACCTGGAAATATAAAGCTGGAGATCAGTAGGGCAGACGGGGGCGAAATATGCCCCATAAGAACAAAGGGGAGTGTTATTATTATACATTATCCCTAGGGAAGCCTAGGGTTCAGGAGAAAGAAATGACTTCGAGAAATCCCAGGAGAGTCTCAGGCAGCTCTATGTGTGCCAGGTCTACCTCCAGTAAGACATGGGTGGTATTCCACACTGATCAGTTGTTTGAAGAATGAGAAGAATGTTAATTAATCCTGTTATCTGAGCAGAGTACTTTCTGGTTCAATTTCTCTGATAAAACCACCCTGAATGGAGAACTCTCAGAACACCCAAGCAGGCCTCCTTCTAGGATCCCTTGAGGTTCAGCGAGACTTGGAAACGGGTGGGATGGGGCACCCTTTCTGGTCCTAGGAACTTCAGGGTCAGGGCTGACTCTTTCCTCTCAGTGTTCTGACCAGAGACCCTTTACAATCCAGTCTTCTTCTCCCTTTAAATATAGCCGCACTTTAGAAAGAAATGGGAAAAAATTAATTCATGTGTCACTTTGGCACATTGTTTTTTTCTCATAGTCTCTCCTTAAAACCTGCAGGCATTTAAAAAAATACTGGTGATGCACCAGGGACTGCATGCTGGGCACTGGATAGAACTGCTTTAGAACAGACTTCAATAAGTGAATTGTTAAATTGAAAGGCAAGAACAATTTGATGTTTCGAGGAGATCATGGTTTTGCAAAAGCGATTCTTAAAGTGATTGGCAGCTTATGGGGATTCACAATTTAGCATGAAGGGCTGACGATCTCAAAGGCAGCTGGGCAAAGACCCCAGAATGATTCCTTCAGGACCAAGATGTGACTGGCTTGTGTGATTTGTATCAGAATTCCATGTTGATCAGAAATGCATTCAGAATTGTTTCAAATGTTAAAAAAACAGAAAAGAGAGACAAATTCTAGTTCAACATCTGTAAGGGAGTACATGTACTCTCAGTGAGTGATATGCAAGATTTGCAGATTAGACAAAAAGTATTGTTAGTGTCTACCCTGTGTGAAAAGTATATAAGACGCCTTGACCTTTGTAAGTTCCTCCATCTAGCTACTTAGAGGATTTCTTTGTTGCCTGAGGCTGTCTGTAAAGGTCTCACAACCTTGCCTCTGAAATATGGTTTCACTTACCTTGGGGACCCTTTCATGCAAGGTGGAGGTTGGCCTGAACAGCTAAAAAGACAGTGAACAAAGACTTCACTGAGCACGCAGTAAAGGCTGTAGGAACCACATTATTTCTGCTCACTCTAAAAGTTGAGCAGATGTTGGTAGTGTGGAAGATTTGGTCTGAGATTTGCTCTCAGGTGGTAGAAGAGCAGCTAACTTTCACCCATCAGCCTTTATAGTGGTTTCCATCACTTACCAAAAAGAAACTAAGTATACGTACATAAGGTATGTGATTCTCGCAATGACGCCGTGATGTAAATGCTATTATTACCTCCACTTACTGTTGAGGAAACAGGTCTGGAAAGCTTAAGTCACCTATCCAAGGACACAGTCAGAATATAGATCTAGGGCATTTGGTTCTAAAGCCCATGCTCTTTTTACAATGTAGAAATAAGTTTTATGTTGTTTTTTTTTTTTTAAAATATCACATGCTTGGTGGGGTGCGGTGGCTCACGCCTGTAATTCGAGCACTTTGGGAGGCCGAGGCGGGTGGATCACCTGAAGTCAGGAGTTCGGGACCAGCCTGGCCAACATGGAGAAATCCCGTCTCTACTAAAAATACAAAAATTAGCCAGGTGTGGTGGCATGTGCCTGTTATCCCAGCTACTCAGGAGGCTGAGGTAGGAGAATCACTTGAACCTGGGAGGCAGAGGTTGCAGTGAGCCAAGATTGTGCCACTGCACACTCCAGCCTGGGCAACAAGCGCAAAACTCTGTCTCAAAAAAAAAAAATCACATGCTCATAGAAAAATCAGAAAATATATAAATGTATGAAATAGTCTAATTCCACTACTCACAGAAAATCATGTTAAGTCTTGGTGTATTACTTCCAGACCTATTTCCATGCACATTTAGTTGAGATTGCACTGTATTTACAGTTTTGTGTTTTGCTTCCTTAACATGTTATAAATATTTCTTGATATTATTAAAAGTTATTGACATCATTTTTAAGGCAAACATAATGTTCCATTCTATGGCTATATTGTACCACCTGTTTTGGACATTAACTTCATTTGTACTTTTGCTATTGTCAATAACAACAAAACGGCCATCTCTGAAGGTGATTTTTGTTTATATTTCTTAGTATTTTATCAGGGCAGATTTCTGGAAAGGGTATTACTGGGTCAAAGGGCAAGAACAGTTTAATGGACATTATGAGGCATTAGAATGCAAAAAGTGCACTCTGTTTTTGTAAATAACAAAAAATGAGCATTACTTTTCAAGACTGAGATTAAAAAATCAAGATAAATGAAAACCATGAGGATTCTGACTGAGAATGAACTGACCAGCCATCAGGTTTAATTAGTGCTACTTTTCTGACCAGTAAGGAAGGGGCAGCACAAATACCCATGGAGCTCCTCCTTGACTATTGAATTTGGCATTTTTGAAGCATTTTTGCCAAGCTTGATTTGTTAAAATTTAGCAACAACAAAGTCATCAAATTTTCAGGCAGGGGCCAGAAAGGAAAAACTAGTTCACAAAGATTTACAGCCTTCAGGAATGTTCCAGAAGGCTTTTCCAGATGGCAAAGGGCTAGAGAGAAAAGGGTCTTTCCAGCTTGGGCTTGACTGGAGGCTAGGAAGGGAGGTCAGGGTGAGAGCAGCGGCAGGAAGGACGGTGTTGGCCCGTGGGACTGATGGTTGTGTTCTGCACCCGGTGAGAGGTGGTTTGAGGGCTAGGAAGTCAGTTTATCTTCCCAAACAGGATAGGTAGAGGAAGAAGGGGGCACGTGACTGCCAGCCCAAGGAAGTCCTTTGGAACAGCAGGCACAAGGTCGATGATGGGAGGAAGGGAAGTGTTAATGAATCACAGAGAGATATGCTGTGTCTTAAACTCCTGACAAGGGGCGGGTAACCTGCCATAGGGAACATGATTGCAGTGTGTAACCCGCCGTAGGGAACATGATTGCAGTGTACCTGGAGCTGCGGTTGTTAACCTAGGGATTGTGCCCCGTGGATAGCATTTTCAGGAATTCTGTGCATGCCCTGAATTTATGAAGAATTCATGCAGAAAAAAAAACAGACATAGTTTTTGGTGAGACAAGGTCTATAGCTTTCAGGAGTCTGTGATCCCCAAAAGATTAGAAACAAGTGACCTGTGTGTATATTCCCTCTATCTCTAGGATCAAAGGTATCTTCTCTCCTGAGCCTAACTCCTCCTCCCCTGTTCCAAGGTGCCTCTTGCCCTGGCAGTGGCAGAAAGCCCTGTCTGGATGCAGTGGTAGGTGCCCCAGCCTAATGGTTGTAATGGAGGGTTTAGTGGGAGGTGTGGGTAGGTCAGGTAACAGCAGATGCTCCGGGAAAAGCTCTGTGCTTCGGCAGAAAGCTGGGAAGCGTCTAGGTGAGTCTATCAGGACAAGATTTTCACTTGGAGACATATTCTGTTTCCTAAAAGTATAATTCCTTTCACGGGAGCGTGGCAACACCCAGGGCTGGCTATAACTGCTGCTTGAAGAGGCTTATTGACACAGTGAGAGCGTCACGTTTGAGATTAGGGCTGTATTTCTCTTGAGAGCCCCTTGGCTCTCTTCATTATACTCAGTTTCTTTTGAAGGATTTATTTTTTAATTTTTTTGTAGAGATGGGGCCTTATCATCTTGGGATTTATTTCAAAAAATAAATCCATCTTTTGAAGGATTTATTTTTTAATATTTTTGTAGAGATGGGGCCTTATTATTTGAGCCCAGGCTGGTCTCAAACTCCTGTGTTCAAGCGATCCTCCAGCCTCAGTCTCCTAAAGTGCTGGCATTACAGTATGAGCCACCGGCCCAGCCTTCTGAAGGATTTAAGAAATAAGTGTTTAGGCCGAGCGTGGTGGCTCATGCCTGTAATCCCAGCCCTTTGGGAGGCTGAGGCGGGTGGATCACGAGGTCAGGAGATCGAGACCATCCTGGCTAACATGGTGAAACCCCGGCTCAACTAAAAATACAAAAAATTAGCCGGGCGTGGTGGCAGGAGTCTGTAGTCCCAGCTACTCGGGAGGTTGAGGCAGGAGAATGGCGTGAACCCGGGAGGCGGAGCTTGTAGTGAGCCGAGATTGCGCCACTGCACTTCAGCCTGGGCCACAGAGTGAGACTCCATCTCAAAGAAAAAAAAAAAGAAATGGGTGTTTTATTACAGCATTGTCCATAGTGACAGAAACCTGAAAACAATTTCAGTGTCTAGCAATAGTGAAATAATAGACGAAACTGTGGAGCATTCATATTATGAAATACTAGATAGCTTTTAAAAGAATATTAGCTCCGTAGGCAGTGACCTAAAGGGAGACCACAATGTTTACTTAAATGAAAAACCAAGCTAGTATAGTACATAGGATGGGAATAGGCAAACAGCTTTTTGTAAAGAGCCAAATAGTAAATATTGTAGGCTTTGTGGGCCATACAGTTTTTGCTACAACTACTCAGCTTGGCAATTGTAGTGCAAAAACAGCTATAGACAATACACAAAAGAATAGGCGTGGCTGTGTTCCAATAAAACTTTATTTACAAAAGCAAGCAGTGGATCAGATTTTGTCTACCAGTCATGGTTTGCAGATACTTTGCATAGTGTATAATATCTTTGAAAAGAAACTTTGAATATCGTGTATGTGTTTTATAAGAATAGGCTCCAAACTATTAATACTGGTTACCTTGGGGAGAAAAAGGGTGGGATTGGCAGTAGGGTGATTATTCATTTTTTCTTTATTCATTTCTGTTTTCTTTGATTTGAAATGAAACACATGTATTGTTTCATAATTTCTTTTTCACGTTCCTAAAATGAAATACATATGCAGTGGGAATTCCCAGATGTATAGAAATGACTTTGCCTATGGAATGGGACAGTTTTGACTTGATTTAAGGGGATTTTGATTGACCACAAGCTTCAAGAAACCATCAGTTGCTAAAAGCCTAACCTAGTTTGAGATGGTGGTAATGAAAGTATAATTTTCTGATTAATAGAGGGGACAGTCCCAGTGTTTTTTGCAACAGTCAAACCATATCTAGGACTTCCTTTTAATTTTGGGGTGCTGAGTTGTAAGGCAGACATGGACAAACTAGATGTTTGCTGAAGACAGAGACTGGGAAGGTGAAGAGTGTGGAAGTGCTGTCAAGAGGAGTGGAGCTTGCTGAGCCTGAAGAAGAGAGGGCAAGCATGGAAGAAATAAAAGCTGCCCTCACATCCTAGAGAGGAGAAAGGAACTGTTACCCATGCTCCAGGCTGTGCCCTGAACCACTGATATCCACTTCTTGTCAAGCAGATGATGGTCCAGCCAGCATGTAAGGGCGAGATCCTTACATAGCCTCCTTCTAAAGTATTTCAGGAGGACCTGGTCTCTGCAAGATTCAGGAGCTTGGGGAGGGGGAAAAAAGTTCCTATGGTGGTTCAGGGCCTGAACTTTGGGATAGATAGACCTGGTTTTGCAACCCTGGAAAAGTTTCTGAATCTCTCCAAGCCTCCATTTTTCCTCTGTAAAAGAGCCATAATAAGATTATGATAATGATACTTATTTCATGGGGCCATTATGAGAATCAAATGAATCAATGCACATTTAGCATTTTCCAGTATGTCTGGCACAATCAGTAAGTGCTCAGTACATGTTAACAGTTTGTTGTTGGCTTGGTTCTTATTATTGTGGTCGTTACTCTAACAGCTGCGGGAGTAGTCTTCTAGTTTGCTCCTGTAGCTGTGTTTGACATGCTGGTCCCCTTAACTTCACAACATTTCACCCCATACTCTTCTTAGCCAAAACCAAGGTGATAGCTTGGCTGCATGGCTTTCTCTGGGCCTTGGTTGTTTTCATCTGTAAAACAGCCTTCACGGTATCTATTGTTCCTATTTAATAAGGCAGATGAGGTATGAAAGACTCCATGGATATATCCTTGGAGAGAGAAATGAAGGATGTAAATCGAAGGTGACACAGTGCCTAAAGCCCGAGTTCCCTGCCTCACCTTTCTATGCATCCGAATCCCACTCCTGCTTTAACTAACCAAGTCCCCGCCTCTTCCGACCATGTGTTTATCTCCTTCCTGGAACTTCCGGGCACCTCTGTCTGCCTTGCCCATTTGGGCTGGTAATTCTATGCTGTATTGATTTGCATCATAAATTAATAATCTCACATGGCTGTGTCATAACCATAACTGTAAGTAAGATCTGAGAGAGTTGGGTCTTTGTCTTACATATTTTCATATTAATAGCTATTTAAAAAAATTATTTTAGAATGAATAATTGATGCCAAGTTCAAGCAGATTGCTGTGTGTCAGAAATGGTGCCAGATGTCTTCACAGATAATCAATATTGAATGACATCACAACACCCCTATAACTCCGCTACCAATGTCTCTACTTTACTGATGAGCAGTGGAGTTCAGAAAATTAGTTAGCTAGCCCGTGACCACTCACGTATAGTAAAAGATTTGTTCTTTCCTATTCTCTCAGGGCCAAGCGGGGTATCAGGCACACAGTATGTTCAGGGTACATTTGATGTAAAATGTCCTTAGCATCCCTCGCTGAAAAATTGAAGATTTTGGCTGGGTGTGGTAGCTCACACCTGTAATCCCATCACTTTGGGAGACGAAGGTGAGCGAATCACTTGAGGCCGGGAGTTCAAGACCAGTGTGGCCAACGTGGTGAAACCTGATCTCTACTAAAAATACAAAAATTAGCCGGGCATGGTGGCGGGCGCCTGTAATCCCAGCACTTGGGAGGTTGAGGCAGGAGAATAGCTTGAACCCGCGAGGCGGAGGTTGCAGTGAGCTGAGATTGCACCACTGCACTCCAGCCTGGGTGACAGCAAGACTCTGCCAAAAAAAAAAAAAAAAAGAAAAATTGAAGATTTCAAAAACTGTTGTTTCTAAAAGCAACTAAATTAAAGTTAAAAAAAAATTCCATAGGAGCTTGTACTTGCCTCTTTCTGGCATCTGTTTACCAAACAGGCTGATCATTCACCTGGAACTGAACCAGGGCCAGTGAGGGAGGGGAAACAGGAGGCCCGAGTAGGACCCAGGTTTCCTGCAGGGAAGTCCTGGCCAAGTATCCCGCTTCCTTCTGGTCGATTGTTCATGGGAAGGAAGGCGAGGGGCCTTCTGTTCTTTCTCTGGAATCCCGTGGTGCCCGTCTTTGGCAGGCAGAAACAATGAGCCTACCCCAGCCTCTCACAGTGTGTTTGAGGCACATCTTCCCCATTCTGTGGCCTAGGTGATGCTTGGACACATTGTAAGCACACAGATGTATGGATTTATTATTATTTCCTAAAACCTATGCTCTGCTGGCTGAGATGGGCCTGGGATTTATAAGCCCTACCAATTAGCTGAGTGCTGAGCACTGTAATCCAGGGCCAGTACTGCTCTCCTAGCTGCAGGAAAGGGGTGGTGAAAAATCACAAGAGGAAAATGGAACCTGGCACTAGAATGTGAGCAAAAAAGAGGCAATTCTGCTGACTTCAGAGAAGCTTCCTTGCAGAAGGAATCTGAAACACGAGCAACTCTCTGGGGAGGATGAGAAGCTCTTCTACAAGGAGGAGGAAAACATACCTTAGGCTATATGGCTGCTGGGAATCCAGGTTAAAATGTTTAACCCTGGAGAAAAAGAGGTCAGTTAGGAGTTTCTTGCTGTAATCCAAGTGGTGACAATGAGGGCCCGGATGCAGGAAGAGAGTGAGTGTGTGTGTGAGTGTGTGTGTGGGTGTGTGGGAGGGTGGGTGTGTGTGTGGGAGGGTGGGTGGGTGTGAGTGTGTGTGGGGTGGGTGTGTGTGGGGGGTATAAGTGAGTGTGTGTGTGGGATGGGTGAGTGTGTGGATGTGTGAGTCTGTGAATGTGAGAGTGTGTGTGGGTGTGGGTGTGTGTGAATGTGTGAGTGTGTGTGTATGCATGTGTGTGCCGGGGAGGAGGAAGTGGTGGAGAAGTGAAGAATAAGAGGGAGTGAAGAATAAGAGGGACAGTGGCAAGAGGTTCTTAAAGGTAAAGATAAAGCTTGACTTGGGATTGGTTATGAAACAGAGAACCAGTTAAAAAAAGTTCATGTTTCAGAATTTGTTAAAACTAGAGTTTTGTTTATTTATTTTTTCTTTTTTAAAATTTCAATAGGCTTTTGGGGAACAGGTCGTGTTTGGTTACATGAATAAGTTCTTTAGTGGTGATTTCTGAGATTTTGGTGCACCCGTCACGCGAGCAGTGTACACTGTACCCAATGTGTATAGTCTTTTATCCTTCACCACCCTCCCACCCTTTCCCCCGAGTCCCCAAGTCCACTGTATCATTCTTATGCCTTTGCATCCTTATAGCTTAGCTCCCACTTATGAGTGAGAACATACGATGTTTGGTTTTCCATTCTTGAGTTACTTCATTTAGAATAATGGTCTCCAGTTCCATCCAGGTTGCTGTGAATGGCATTATTTCATCCCTTTTTACGGCTGAGTAGTATTCCATGGTAAATATATATATATATTTATATATATTTATATATTTATATATATATATTTATATATATTTATATATTTATATATATTTATATATTTATATATTTATATATATTTATATAGTTATATATTTATATATTTATTTTTTAATATATTTTATATGTATTTTATATATAAATATATATTTATAAATATATGTATTTTATATATAAATATATATTTATAAATATATGTATTTTATATATAAATATATATTTATAAATATATATAATTTATATATAATCATTATATTAATATTATTAATATATTAATAATATAAATATATAAATATATATATTTATATATATTTATATATATTTTTATATATGTATATTTATATATTTATATATATGTATATTTATATATTTATATATATATTTATATATATTTATAAATATTTATATATATTTATAATATATAATAAATATATATAAATATATATACATATATATCAAATAAATATATATATTTATAAATATATATGTATATATATTTATATATTTATATATACATATATATTTATATATTTATATATTTATATATACATATATATTTATATATTTATATATATTTTTATATATTTATATATATTTATATATTTATATAAATATATATTTATATATATTTATATATTTATATATTTATATAAATATATATTTATATATTTATATAAATATATATTTATATATTTATATATTTATATAAATATATATTTATATATTTATATAAATATATATTTATATACTTATATATTTATATATTTATATATTTATATATTTATTTATATATTTATATATTTTTTATATATTTATATATAATTTATATATATTTATATATTTATATATATTTATATATTTTTTTTATATATACCACAATTTCTTTATCTACTTGTTGATTGATGGGCATTTGGACTAGTTCCACATTTTTGCAATTGCGAATTGTGCGGCTATAAACATGCGTGTGCAAATATCTTTTTTGTATAATGACTTATTTTCCTCTGGGTAGAAACCCACTAGCAGGATTATTAGATCAAATGGTAGTTCTACTTTTAGTTCTTTAAGGAATCTCCACACCTTTTTCCATAGTGGTTGTACTAGTTTACATTCCCACTAGCAGTGTAAAAAAATTGTTCCCTTTTGACTGCATCCCCGCCAACATCTATTATTTTTTTATATTTTTGATTATGGCCATTCTTGCAGGGGTAAGGTGGTATGGTATTGTGGTTTCAATTTGCATTTCCCTGATCATTAGTGATGTTGAGCATTTTTTCATATGTTTGTTGGCCATTTGTATATCTTCTTTTGAGAATTGTCTCTCCATGTTCTTAGCCCATTTTTGATGGGATTATTTGTTTTTTGTTTTTTGTTTTTTCTTGCTAATTTGTTTGAGTTCCTTGTAGATTCTGGACATTAGCCCTTTTTCAGATGTTTAGATTGTGAAGATTTTCTCCCACTCTGTGGGTTGTCTGTTTACTCTGCTGATTGTTTCTTTTGCTATGCAGAAGCTTTTTAGTTAATTGAGTCCCATCTATTTATCTTTGAAATTAGAGAGTTTTAGATCTAGATAGGGCTCACCTTACTCCTTCCCCCTTTCCCCTTTACAGATGAAAAGTTGAGCCCAGGGAGGTTAAACAACTTGCCTACAGGAGTAACTCATGTCGGTACCTGGCTTCAGGACCAGTAATTAGATCTCTGGATCCTCAGTATGGATCCCCAATTTTCCCCTGTTTCTTCTATTCAGCTCAGAGGGCAGTGCTAATCCCAGGTTACAGTACTTGGCACTCAGCTAAACAGTGGGGCTTAGACATCCCTGGCCCTCCTCAGATACCAGGATACCAGTTTTATGAAGAACAAACCCTGATACCAGTGTTCTCAACCTCAGCACTATTGACTTTTGGACAGAGAGGACAGAGAGAGGGAATATGGTGTGAGATGAACTGGAGGGGTGGACAGCCATATTGGGCACAGTCCTGTGGGTCACATAGATTTCTGCCTTGTCGTGGAAGTGACAGGAAGCCCTTGGCCCACTTGACTGAGAAGGATGGTGTAAAAATATTTGGTTTTGTTTGTTTGTTCTTACAGACAGAGTCTTGCTCTGTCTCCCAGACTGGAGTGCAGTGGCACAATCATAGCCCACTGCAACCTCAAACTCACATAGCTCTTTGTTGTGGGTGACTGTCACCCACATTGTAGGATGTTTAGCAGCATCTCTGTCTTGCACGTCATATGTTCGGCAGCATCCTTGCCACTAGATGCCACTGGCATCTTCTCCTTCTCTGCACATCTATAGTGGTGACATTTAAAAACATCTCCACACATTGCCAAGTGTCTCCAGAGGAGTGGGTGTGGAGGGACAAAATTGCCCCTGCTTGAGAACCAATGTCTTATATTGATGAGCTCCAGCATCACATGAGTCAAAGAAAACCAGAAAATTGAAAAGGGTAAAGCTCCTATCATTCATTTAGAATGAAATGATTACTATTTTCCTAATAATCTTGAGAAAAGTGATTTGTTCATTCACTCATTCAACAAAAATATATTGTGTATGTACTATTGCCAGGTGCTGTCATAGTCTTTAGGGAGACAGGAATGAACGGGTTGGATTCTAGAGCAGCAGTCCCCAACTTTTTTGGCACCAGGGACTAGTTTTGTGGAAACAATTTTTCCACGGAGGGTTAGGAAGAGATGGTTTTGGGATGAAACTGTTCCACCTCAGAACATCAGGCATTAGATTCTCATAAGGAGCACACAACCTATATCCCTCACATGTGCAGTTCACAATAGGGTTAGCGCTCCTATAAGAATTTAATGCTGCAGCTGATCTGACAGGAGGTGGAGCTCAGCTAGTAATGCTTGCTTGCCCACCACTCACCTCCTGCTCTGTGGCCCCATTCCTAACAGGCCACAGACTGGTACTGATCCGCTGCCTGGGGGTTGGGGACCCCTGCTCCAGAGGGTTTATAATCAAGCTCAGTGGCTGTGAAAATGAGAGACCATTTCTAGGACTTCAAGAGTCCATGGAGAAAGGGAAAAAGGAGAGAAGCCAGAGGAGACAAAGAATCAATAGTCAGAAGTGGCTAGAAAGCCAGGAGAGTACACCGTGACAGAAGTCAACCTAGGCATTGGGCGGCTGAGACAGACTTCATTGTCAGGAGCACCTGTGTCTCAATTCTGGCTTACTATTACTTGGGCAAATTACTTCTTTAACCTCAGTTTCCTTGTCTGTAGAATGGAAATCATAACAGTAGTCACTTCCTGACTGTTTTGAAGACGAAACAAAAATAAGATAATACATGTGAAGCTCTTAGCACAGAGAGAGCACAGACTGGGACCTGGTAAACATGGAACAAACCTATGGAAGCTGCTCTAGTTATCTTTCAGTTTATACTATTTTATTGCTAGGAACAAAGTTGTGCTCCAGGCAAAGGCACGTCAACAGCCACCAAAGATTGGAATAAGCCTTTGGGGCAGTTATTTTAGCTTTAGCCATCTGGCTGTCCCTTATCAATAATTTGTTGGTTGCATCTGCGGTGGGTTTTGAGGTATCATAAAGTTTACTAAGCCTGTTATTTCCTATATGCACAGAAGCAGTGAGAGGAATGTGTTGCAGTCATAATGAAAGTAGAGGTCATTTTTTAAAATTGAAAGTGAGAAAATGTATTGCAATAGGACCATTCTATATTTATTTAAAAAAGAAAAGAAAGTGAGAAAACGCAGAATGCTACATGTGCCTTTGAAGTGAGACATTGGATGATGGGGATGATGATACATATTAAATACTTAGAAATGAGTTTGGCACATGGTGAGCACTTAAGCAACGTCTTCCTTTGTGATTGTGATTATTATGATGGTGCAGAACAAAGAGGGAATCATACGGTATGTGAAAAATGTTGAGTTTACACACAAGACAGTTATTAGCCAGGGGCAAGGAAAAGTGAAGACTAAACTGGAAAAAATCTGGAATATGTGGCTAGAGCTCAGCATCAATTTCAGATGCCTTATGCAAATTCAGGAGATGGCTAGAGGTTGGAGAACGTAAAGGGGTAGCTGGGAGAAAATGCTGCTTGGAGATGATTGTTGTAAGCCATAGGCATTCCGTGAGGCTAAGTTCATTCATTAGAATCTGTTCCTCATTAAAATGAATCTCAGGTGATTGGGTCATGGAGCCCATACCTCTCAGATATTTCTAGAGACCGTCAGCAGAGGGAGGTCTCATCTGCCTCAACAGGTTTACGAATTGATCCACTTTAAGGAAGGATGTCCAAGACAGCAATGTTTTACGGTGGCAAAGAGAAACATAAACTTCAGAGCCTAAACTAACATTTCTATTTGGTGGATATGTGAGTGAAGATTGCAAACTTAATCTCTTCTTGTTCTCCTTGGATTTACAAATATAGCATCAACAACAACTCACATTTACTGAGAATGCAATATGTGGCAGACAGTTCTAAGCATATTGCACTTTCACCAAGACTCTGTGAACTAGTTAGTGTTATGTGCCCATTTTATAGATTTAGAAGCGGAGGCACAACTTGCTTAAGGGACCCAGTTAGTGAATTGTACAAGCAAGATTTGAACCAGGTAGTCTGACCCCAGAGCCCATGCTCTGCTTTGCTTTGCTTTTTTTTTTTTTTTTTTTGAGACAGAGTCTTGCTCTGTCACCCAGTCTGGAGTACAGTGGTGCAATCTCAGCTCACTGCAACCTCTGCCTCCTGGGTTCAAGTGATTCTCCAGCCTCAGCCTCCCAAGTAGCTGGGATTATAGGTGCGTGTCACCATGCCCAGCTATTTTTTTTAATTTTTTTTTAATTTTTTAGTAGAAATAGGGTTTCACCATGTTGGCCAGTCTGGTCTCGAACTCCTGATCTCAGGTGATCTGCCTGCCTTGGCCTCCCAGAGTGCTGGGATTACAGGGGTGAGCCACCACACCCAGCCCCATGCTTTTAACTACTGAATTTACAAACAGCCTATTAACACCTGATCTTTGCTTTTTTTTTTCTTTTTGAGACAGGGTCTCACTTTGTTGCCCAAGATGAAGTGCAGTGGCACAAACAGCTCACTGCAGCCTTGACCTCCCAGGCTCAAATGATCCTCCAGCCTCAGCCCTTCAAGTAGCTGGGACTACAGGCACATGCCACCATGCTCAGCTAATTTTTGTATTTTTTGTAGAGTCTAGGTTTCACCATGTTGCCTGGGCTGGTCTCGACCTCCTGAGCTCAATTGATCTGCCTGCCTCGGCCTCCTAAAATGCTGGAATTACAGGCATGAGCCACCATGCCCAGCCAACACCTGATCTATTTTTAAGTATCAAAGCTTCTGTATTATTATGATGGCTGTCACTAGTAGGGAAGCATGATCATTGACATCAAGGATAATTGTGACCAAGTAAAAGCCATTTGATTTAGCAACAAGCAGATCATTGGCCTCTGAGTGGGTGGTTTCTGTAAAGTACTGGGGTGGCAGCCAGACTGTGAGGCCTCAAGGGAGTTGAGGGAAGTGAGAAAAGGGAAGCCTCCAGGGTTTACAGGCATACCTTGTTTTATTCTGCTTCGGTTTATTGCACTTCACAGATATTGTGCTTTTTACTGATTGAATGTTGTGGCAACCCTCTGGCCAAGTCAATTGGCCCCATTTTTCCAACAGCGTGTGCTCACTTTATGTCTCTGTGTCACATTTTGGTAATTCTCACAATATTGCCAACTTTTTCATTATTATTTTATCAGTTATGGTGATCTATCATCAGTGATCTTTGCTGTTACCATTGTAATTGTTTTGGGGCACCACACACTGTACCCGATAAGATGGCACACTTAATCCATAACTGTTATATGCATTCTGATTGCTCCATTAAGTGGTTGTTCCCCTGACTCTCCCTCTCCTGGGGCCTTGGTATTTCCTGAGACACAATATTATTGAAATTAGCCAATTAATAATGCCACAATGACCTCTAAGTGTTCAAGTGGAGGAAAGATCATGTCTCTCACTTTAAGTCAAAATCTAGAAGTGATTAAGTTTAGTGAGGAAGGCATGTTGAAAGCTGAGATGGGTCAAAAGCTAGACCTCTTGGGCCAAACAGCCAAGTTCTGAATGCAAAGGAAAAGTTCTTGAAATTAAAAGTGCTACTCCAGTGAACTCAATAATAATAAGAAGCAAAACAGCCTTATTATTGATATGGAGAAAATGTTAGTGGTTTGGATGGATGATCAAACCAGCCACAACATTCCCTTACGCCAAGGCATAATTCAGAGCAAAGCCCTAGCTCTCTTTAATCCTATGAAGCCTGAGCAAGGTGAGGAAGCTGCAGAAGAAAAGTTGGAAGCTACAGGAGGTTGGTTCATGAGGTTTAAGGAAAGAAACCTGTCTCCATTACATAAAAGTGCAAGGTGAAGCAGCATGGGCTGATGGATAAGCTGCAGTAAGTTATATGGAAGATCTAGCTAAGATCATTGATGAAGGTGGCTAAACAGATTTTCAATGTAGGCAAACAGCTTTCATTGGAAGAAGGTGCTATCTAGGACTTTCATTTTAGTAAGAAGTCAGTGGTTGTTTCCAAATCTTCAAAGGACAGGCTGACTCTCTTCTTAGGAGCCAATGCAGCTAGTGACTTTAAGTTGAAGTCAGTCCTCATTTACCTTTTTCAAAATCCTAGGGCCCTTAAGAATTATGCTAAATATACTCTGCCTGTGCTCTGTTAGGGAAACAAGAAGTCCAGATGACAGCACATCTGCTTACAGCATGTTTTACAGAACATTTTAAGCCCACTGTTGAGACTACTATTCAGAAAAAAAAAAGATGCCTTTAAAAACATTACTGCTCATTGACAATGCACCTAGTCACCCAGAAGTTGTGATAAAGATGTACAAGGAGATTAATGTTTTCTGCCTGCTAACACAACATCCGTTCTGCAGCCCAGGGATCAAGGAGTAATTTTGATTTTCAAGTCTTATTATTTAAGAAATACGTTTTGTAAGGCTAAAGCTGTCATAGATAGTGTCTCCTCTGATGGATCTGAACAAAGTCAGTTGAAAATCTTCTAGAAAGGATTAACCATTTCAAGTGCCATTAAGAACATTTGTGATTCATGGGAGGAAGTTGAAACCTCAGCATTAACAGGTGTTTAGAAGAAGTTGATTTCAACCCTAATGAGTGACAGTGGTTTCTTGAGATAGAACCTCCTCCTGATGAAGATGCTGTGAACATTGTCAAAATAACAACAAAGATTTAGAATATTACATAAATTTAGTTGATAAAGCAGCGGCAGGGTTTAAGAGGACTGACCCCAATTTTGAAAGAAATTCCACTGAGGGTAAAATGCTATCAGCTATCTCTTGTGAAAGGAAGAGTTTTTTGTGAATGGAAGAATCAATCAATGAGGCTAACTTCGTTGTTGTCTTATTTTAAGAAATTGCCACAGCCACCCTAACCTTCAGCACCCACCACCCTGACCAGTCAGTCAGAAGCCATCAACATTGAGGCAACACCCTCCACCAGCAAAAAAGATTACTACTCACTGAAGCCTCAGATGATCAACATTTTTTAGCCGTATTTTTAAATTAAAGTATGTACATTTTTTAGGCACAATGCTATTGCACACACTTTTAATAGACTACGGTATAGTATAAGCATAACTTTTATATGCACCAGGGAACTCAAACATTTGTGTGACTCACTTTATTGTGATATTATTATTCACTTTATTGCTATGGTCTGGAACCAAACCTGCAATATCTCCAAGGTACGCCTGTATATAACTTCCAAGAATTTGGCAGTAACTGTCAGGAAAGAAATAGAATTACAACTACAAGGAGTAGCCAGCCATGTAGAGGTTTGTTTTTTCTTCTTCCCAAGGTGATAAATACACAATGGAAGTAAGAAAAAGGGCTGGCAAAGGGGAAGAGGATGAAGATACTGAAGAGGAAGGAAAGATACTTCATACATCTGGGAGGCGATAGTGCTCAGGGCACTGGTTAAGGGCTTTGGCACCTGGCTAGATTTGGAGATGTTTTGCATTTTACTTATTGACAATCCCTGATACATCAGTGCTTGGATTTTTAGTAATCAGTGGTTGGATTTTCAGTAACGTGGACCCACACTGACTTGCAGGCTCATATTCTTGTGGTTGGATGGTCCTTTATCTAATGCTAGGAGAACTGCATTTGAGTCCCAGTGCTGCCATTAAATAGCTGTGTGTGATTTTGGACAAATAAGTCACTTCATGTCGCTGAGCCTCAGTTTCCTCATCTGTAAGTGGCAGATTTGAACTAAAGATCCAGGGGTCCTTTGTACGTGAAGCGGTATTAACTTCTAATGAGAATAGAAGGATGTTCTGCCATTTTAGGTGAAAGATTAATCCTCTTATTGAAAGATTTTGTCTTAGCGTGGGAGAGAGGCCACAGTCACTTCCTTCGGTGTTGGAGAGAGAGGTGATTTGACCAGAATTGTAATAGAGTCCACATTATATTTATACAAGTGTATACTATTCTTTGAAATGGATTAATTTGTTACTGGAGTCTAGGGCATTAATTTTAATTTTAATTTTTTTACATATTAATTATCATTTTATTCTGGTGTTTTGTTCTTTAGGAAGACACAAATGTTTGTGATCAAATGCTGACAATCAATAATGATGCAAAGATGTCAGCAATTAGTGTAACACTTTCATTAAAACGTAGAAAATAACAGATAAGATACAGACATGATGATTCCAGAGCAGATGCCATGAAGACACTAACAGTATGTCCCAAAGGAGCGGATCAACAGAGACAGAGACGGGATAAATCCAGACTGGTCTATAACAGAAACTATAGGGCATTGTTTTAAATACTTCAGAAGCCTGGCCGAGTGCAGTGGCTCACCCGTGTAATCCCAGCACTTTGGGAGACCGAGGTGGGTGGATCACCTGAGGTCAGGAGTTTGAAGGCCAACAGGGCAAAACCCCATCTCTACTAAAAATACAAAAATCAGCTGGACATGGTGATGCGCGCCTGTAGTCCCAGCTACTAGGAAGTCTGAGACATAAGAATTGCTTGAGCCTGGGAGGCAGAGGTTGCAGTGAGCCGAGATCATGCCACTGCACTCCAGCCTGGGCGACAGAGTGAGACTCTGTCACACACACACACACACACACACACACACATACACACACACCCACACACACACACACACACAGACACACAAAACAGAAAACTTATGTTCTTTATTAGCTAAATTCATGCCTGAATCTCAGGAGAATCATGAAATATTGCTACCTTGTGTCTAGTAGAATGACAATGACATACTGTTCTTCTCTGGACAAGTCTACCTATTATTAGTGGGATGGTTACCTCCCTAAGTGTTGAGTTCTCAGGAAGGAGGATCAAATGGGATATCTATGTGCTAACCATCAGTTGCTAACAGTATTTAATAAGCATAATTTTCTCTAACCACCAGAGTTATAAAATATAACTCAGCAAATGCTTAGAGTGCCTACTATGTATAAGGTACCAAACAGGAAAATGGGGACGAGAGATGTCAGTTTTGCTGATCAAAGCCTGTCACCCAATAAAAACCCAAAACAGGAAACCATGACAAATATCTGACTATCTGGTGTGCAGCCATTTGGAACACAAAGGGGTATGTGCACATGTAACATCGCACATGTAACACACACACCCACATGCATGCAAGCCATCAGCTCAAGGCGTATGTGTGTGCATGCATAAATGCATGTGTGTGTGTATGTTTAGGGTCAGTGTGGAATAATAGGCTGAATAAGAGGGTAAGGTTTTATGATATACACCCAGGGGGAAAATCTGTGTAAGTCATGCTTTTATCTTGTTAGGTATATGTTATTACTCAAGAACACTTACACCTGGTGATCCAGCAGCTCAAACACACATACATGCACACACTCCTAACTTGATATCACCCTGGTGTACACTAATTGTCTTAAGCCACTCATTTGATTCAAGAAGCAAGTATAACTCTACAGCAGCAGTTCTCGACATGTGGTCAGAGACCCCTGAAGTTGCCTGCAGGAACTGTGAAGTCACGCAGGGCCCCATGCTCAGAGCTCAGTTCAATGTTCTGCTGTGGCTGTCTTGAAATGCTTTATAACTTTTGGACAAGAAACAGCACTTTCACTTTGCACTGGTCCCCACCTATGTAACTCATCTTAGTTGCTTGAGATCCTTTTAGGAGGTCCATGAGCTCAAAACTATT
This sequence comes from Homo sapiens, assembly GCF_000001405.40. Lineage (NCBI taxonomy): Eukaryota > Metazoa > Chordata > Mammalia > Primates > Hominidae > Homo > Homo sapiens. The sequence goes on from NC_000011.10 coordinate 36,361,128, forward strand.
TTAACAAGACTAACAACATTAATATATTATTTGCCTTTTCTACTCTGATTTTCACACAAGTATACAGTGGAGTTTTCCGGAGGTGACATGGCATTGGTATTGCAACAGACTAAGTGCACAGCAGATACGAGAATCCAGATCTCTTAGGCCAGATATTCAAGAGATTTGCAGAAATAAAAAACAAAGCCACTTTTCTTGCTATATATACCTTTTGCTTTTGGAAAATATAGCTATTTTTCATAAAAATACATTACTTATGTTAATTTGTAATGGCTTTTAAAATTATTTTTAAATCGATTAATAAATAACCAAGGATTTTCTCAGTTTTAGTTTCTAATATGTTAAGTATCAACAGATATAACTTATAAAAACAAAAGACTTTAAGGCTCATAATAATTTCTAAGACTTTAAAGGGTTACTGAGTTCAAAAAGTTTGAGTCACTGATCTCTAGGTATTTACTGTTTCTACCAGAGGAAAGAAATCATTGTGGGAATGTGATCAAACGATAGTGTGTTTGCTTATACTTGTTCATTTATGTGGGCAAATCAATGTCTACTGAAAAAAATGAGGTAAAGAGACAACCTTTTTCATTACCCTTGGACTTCTGCAGAATTTTCCTAAGTGTGACCTAACACAAGTCACTTGTTTTTACTTGTTTTTCTCCTTTGTTTTAGAGCAGCAGGTTCTAGGTTATATCTAACTCTTGTGGTTTTCTAAAATGGAATGGCTGTTAAAGAGAGATCGCGAGCCTCTCTTCCCTCGAGGGGCTTGGGAGAGGTGATACAGACGATTCCAGCATGAGGCACAGTTGGATAAAGTGACCTCTGAGGGTCCTTTCAGTTTGGAGGATGCTAGTAGAGAGAGTCTTTTCCCTTACCAAGTTCAAAGTCGGGGGGTGCTGAAGTAATAACAAATGAGTACATAAAAGGCAAAAAAAAAAAAAAAAGACATTCTGTCAGCACGGAAGCAGCAGGCAGTCACCAGAGACTCCTGCCTTCCATTGGCGAACCGGTCACCGGCTCCGTCCTGAAAACAGAACTTGCTCCGAGTGATGTAGGCAAGGGAGAATGCTTCTGATGGGAGGGCAGGGCAGGGTGGGTATGGGAATCGCATGCTCTCATTCTTATGACTCTGACTCACTGAAACGGATCCCTCCCTTCCCTTTTTGAGGACCCTATTCCTTCACTTTTAGCACCAAAGTGCTGACGTGCCTTTTCCCCACTTGTCTTTAGAAAATCTATCTTGCAAGTGAATGCTAAGGTGCTGGGCTATTGACAGTTTCACACATCACCCTTGGCGGGGTGGGGGTGGGCGGACGGGGGCGGTGGTTGGTGGGAAACAATGACAAGGAGAACCGGAGACAGTATCTTTACCCCAGGAACAAATCTCCAAAAAAGGACGTTTTAGACACTGGGCAAGCAGAATTGACATATTGGGGAAAGAATGTTTTTCTAGCACTTCTCACACCATGCCTGCTGTTTCTGTTTGAAAGCATAATCAATTATGTCTGTCCTCCCTTCTTCTCTCCACCCATCTTTCCTTTCTCACTTCCACTTTTCCTCCTTCCTTCCATAAAAGGTCTTATGGATTCTCTGTTATAGCCCAGGAATTGCTTAGATATTGGGGATTCAAAGATAAATAATGTGCTGTCATTGATTTTATAATTTGTGAGTGGCGACAGACAGGTAAACTGATCACTGTAACAAGAGGAGGCAAATGCTGCATGGGTGGGGGCTGGGGGGTGGTGTGTGTGCTGAGTGCTTGGGCAGCCTGCCTGGGATGGAGGAGCAGGGCAGCCCTTTGACCTGGCTCCTGCAGGGGAAGTGGGTATTTCTAAGGGGGAGAAAGAGAACAAGGTTCTCCAGGCCCAGAGACGTTAAGTCGTGCACCCAGGTTCACATGGCTATGTCACTGGACCAGGCCTGAGCCTGGTTTGTCTCTGCACCCTCGACCTGTGTGCAATAACTACTGCCTTTCCCAGACCACAGGCATCTCAGTGTGCCTGGGCATAGGATGAGGTGAGAGGGAAAGAGTGGCCGGGAATGAGGCTGTGGTCAAGATTCCACACACCATTCTTTGCATCATACCAGGAGACAGAAAGAGAGGCAAATATTTATGGACCAGGAGAAAAGTAAGCCCAATTCTTTGCTGTTAACTTACATTCATGACACAAGTTATTTAAAATATATTCCTGGAGTGCTTTCGAAGTGTGAGGGCAGACATCACTCCTTGACCTCTGGGAGCTCATATCTTTCTTTCCAGATTAGCTGGGGACAGATTGACTGTACTAAGCAGAATTCACTGTTAATAGCTCAATGCCTTTTCTGCAGATGCTGTGGTTACAGCTCCTCACCGCTTCCTTAGAAGCTCTTTTGCCCCTTCTGATAATAAATGACCTGACTCTTGTCTTTTCTTTTCCCCTTCCTCCTGACCCGCCTTTGAGAGATGAATCAACCCCCGGGCAGGTTTCCTGCAAGGAGTGGAGGAAGGGCCCCAGCTCCTAGACCAGCAGAAAAAGCAGGAGTTGACTGATTTCTGCTAAGCTCACTTGACAAAGGGATCTGGTCCCCTTTACCTACCAGTCTTTCTGTACCTGCCTGACACTGGCAAGGCACTTACTCTTCCAGAAACAGCTGGGCCAGAGGAAAATGGCCCACCCCTCCCACAAGAATGCCAAGAAGCAATCGGCTGTTAATTTCCAGTAGGACGAACAGGAACCCTTTCAACCAGGAAATCTAAATTGAACAGTGATTAAGTCATTCAAGCTCCATGGCCCTGTTTAATTTCCAGGTCTACAGATGGCTCTGCCTTCCTCTTAGAGACCATTTTTAGCCACTGGTCTTGGGAGGGTATTTCACTTTTAAATAAGGCACCTGCATGTTCTTGTCAGGCTGCACTCTGTGGTGGTTAAACCCACAGACTAGTGGGGGCAGAATGTCCAGGTGTGAATTTCAGCTCTGCCATTTGCTGTGTGACTTTGGGCAAGTTACTTACCTCTCTGTGCTTCAGTTTCCTCATCTGTGAAATGGAAATAATAATAATTGCACTGGGCTCATAGTGTTGTTTCATGTTTTAGGAGAATTAATGAGTTGACACTTGTGATGTGCTGAGAGCTATGCATAGTAAACATTTTTGGGGGTTAAATTAATACACATATTTAACTATCCAACTGTGAATGGGACTTGCCTTTGTCCTTTCCTTCTCTCGTGAGGTCTGTCATTAGATAGAGGGAATGAATTTAGTAAAGAGGTTAAATGCAGAGATTTGGGGATCAAATTGCCTCAGTTCAAGTCCTGACTCCACCACTTAATTAGAGGTTAAGTCACCTCACCCCTCTGCTCTTCGGTGTCTTCATCTGTAAGGTAGGTTATAATTGCACCTATTTCTTAGGATGGTCATGGAGAATGAGCTTTGTAAAGTTCTTAGAATAGTGCCTGGTGCTTAGCTTAGTAAGTGCTCAGTAAATTTTACCTATTGCATTATTACAAACTCAAAAAAAGTGCCATATAAACACAGCAGTTTTGATTATACAAGCTACAAGCTGCCCAAAGCTAACATCCTTAGCAAGTGTAGCCAGGACCTCAAGCCAGCTCCTAGAGGCTGGCTGTGTGTTAGTCAGCAGGAAGCTTGGCAGTCTGTCCAGGTGTGGAAGAGCTCAGCTCTCCCGTGTTTGAGTCCTGACTTTCCTGCTTGTTAAAGGTGTGACGTCGGGCAATTTGACATCTCTAAACCTCAATTTGTTTCCTTTCTCCCTCCCTCCGTTCCTTTCTCTCTTCCTTCCTCTAGTGAACATTTATTGAGTGGCTGCTCAGTGGAGGAGGCACTGTGTGAAGTTCTAGATATTCCCCAATAGACAGTTCAGTGATCCGTACATCACAGGCAGGCTGTAAGGATTAAACGAGTTACTATCTGCTGGGGGCTTAGTCTGGGCCTGGTACTTAATGTAAACTCAGTAAATAATGGCTGCTCATGCTGATTTCCTATCAAACGTCCTTAGATCATATCTGTTAGGTCTCATCATCCCTTCTGTGAAGGAGGTAGCTGGTTCTTATGATAAAGCACTTAGCGGGAATGATCGTTCAAGTTTACTTGCTTTGTTTCTGCAGTGGAAACTGAAGCAGGGCTTTTTTTTTTCTCTGTAAATTTGGGAGACTATCAGCAGACCAGTCATCCAAGAAATTAAAAAGCCGAAAGCAGAGTCTACTGAGTAGACTCAATTAAGATCTCCCCTCGTCTTATACAGTCTCGGGTCCTTTCGAAGCAAGTTTGACTGACAGGGAATTCTTTTGTCTAGGACCACATTTCCCAATTATATCCTGCTGAATATTATTTCCTTAAGCTGTTAATAGTATTCCATGAAATGAAATTAAACTATTGAATTTTTTTTTCTGAAGACCACCTCCAAGTTCTTAATATACGACTGCATTTTACAGTATTGCATGGAGTATTTTTCCAAAAGTTATTAGACTAAGGAATGTTTCTCCAGCAACACCAGCAACATTTCATGGTATTATCCCTTCCCCTTCTTGGGGAACAGTTTGAGAAATGCCCATCTAGGATAGCTAAGCCAGACTTCATCAATGAAAGCCAGGCTGAAACACCAAAACTCTGGTAATACAAGTATTATATTTAGGAAAAGAATTGAAGCAGATGTTGAGTGATGGGCCAGTCTGTGTTATTGTCAGACTAGAACTGCCCACCAGTTAACGCTGGAGAAAGAAGAGAGTTCTTTGTGAAGGGCAGCCATCCACCTGGCTGGCGTGTCTCACCTTGACTGAGTGAGACATTCAAGCACTGCTAGGTACAGGTGCTGCTAGGGGACAGGGCATCTTTCCTCTGTTCACTTTCTGCTCTTGCAGAAATCTAATTTCTCACATCCAGCAGAAAACCTCCCTGCAATGAGTGGTTTGGATGAGAATATTTATCTTCCCCAAACAGTTTTGCAACTTCCTCTTCCTTAATTGGGAGGTCAAGATGACTGAAGAACTTACACTGGGAAATAAAACTGTATAATTTGTAGTTATTTCTACCTCTGTCAAGCTGTGGGACCTTGGGAAATGACTAAGCTGTTTCTTTTAATCTCAACTTCTTCATCTATAAAATGGGGATAATAATAGCACCTCTTTCCTGGTGTTGTCTGGGGAGTAAGTGAGCCACTGCTTGCAAAGTACCTCACATAGTGTCAGCACATGGTACATCTGCAATTCATATTTTTTTGCAATTAATATTAATGTCAGTTGTAATTTTTTTGTTTTTATCAATTCCATATTTGTGTGTGTGTGTGTGAGAGAGAGAGAGAGAGGACAAAAAGGGAGGAAGAGGGAGGCATATGCCATACTTAGAGTATAATGTAAATTCTATTTTGCAAAGGAAGATTTTGAGTAAAATGAAAAACAAATACATTTCCTATTAATGACATCTCTTTTGCTAAAGAGATAATTTATAAATGTGATTTTAGGTAGAAAGTCCTAGAAACCAAATTACTAATTAATTAGTATTTTAGTTTATTCGTCACTCTCTGGGGAATGTAGTTAGCATGAGTTAATCCCTCAAAGCTTACTTTGTATGGGATGTACCTTGTATTATGGTGCCTAGGACGCTAAATTAGTGGTTAGAGGGTTGTACAGTAGGCTTTGACTCTGAGGAAAGGGGCTGAGATTGCCTTGAGGAATTTTTGATTGGGTCTCTTGAATAGCCTAAATAAACTATCCTGGCCAGAATTCTTTCACAGTAGAGTTTAAAACTCCTCTCTCCTTCTTTCTCCCCTTCTTTGCCCTCCCTTCCTTCCCTTCTCCTCCCTTCTCCCACAGACAGGAATGAATAAGCATACACAAATTTTTCCTTATTCCATTCGCCTTTCTATATATCCAATGCAGACTGCTGTCTTATGTCATTATTTATATTATATTCATGTGATTATGTTCCTTATCTTGATTTTATCTGTTTCTGAAGTGGGAAGGGTGTAAATGTCATTTTTTATTTTTAAGATTACGACTGTATTTCCATATTCTCAGACCACTTATTGAAGTCTCATTTATATTCAACAGCATGCAGTAATACACATCAGAATGTAAATAAAGGCTAAAACATATGTTCAACAAATTGGGAATAGAATAAAATACTAGGCTTTGCCATAAAAGAATTGAGATTATTTATGTGGGGAAACAAACATAATGGTTGGTCAATAACACACAAGTTCTCTTATTTCAAATATGGTATCTAATTATTTTTCTTTGTTACTAAAAAATGTATTACAATGTGCCAAGCATTGTGCCAAGTATTTCACACGGCTCTCCTAAACCTCATTTAGGCCTCATGAAATCCCTAAGAAACAGGTAGTGTCTGCAACTGAGACTCTCACTGCCTTCAAATGGAACTGTCCTTAAATGGTACTACCAGGTCTCAGTCCAAACCTTAGCCTTTTTCCCCACAAGGAAACATTGATTGACCTAAGGTTTGGCTTATACTAGAAGGGATGACTGTTCTGGTCAAGATATTTGGGTTTCAAAGGACAACTTGACCTGGACCCTGGACCCCACTATCTCAAATAAAAGGAGTGTCTCATAGAAATAAGCCCAAGCCAGGCTTCATGGGAGCCGGGACCAGAGAACTTCTCTCTCTCTCTCTCTCTCTCTCTCTCTCTCTGTTGCCGTCTCTCTCTCAAAGTAAATACAATGAAGTGTATGAGGTAAACAAAAAAAGGGTAAGAGAGTCCAGGGTGTATGTGAGGGAGTTAATATAATAAGGGAATCTAATCTGGGTGAGGAGGGAAGTGAGGACTTGAGGATGACCAGCCGTGGGTTAAGATAGTATATCTCGGGGGAGCTGAAGATTTGTGGGAGCCAAAGTACTAGAGAGAATGACCGTGAAAGATGGGAGGTGGTGTTAAGAGAGTGGGAGTGGGTGTAAATAGGAAATGAAAACGTCAAGGCTGACCGTGAGAGTAAGTGGCTGCCGTAGATTGGAGAACAAGGTCATCAGGGCAGAGGTCAAGGATCTGAGCTTCTGGGATATTGGAAAAATTATTTCTATGAATATTGAAATCATGGAGAATTATGAAAAGAGCAACATCTAAGAGAGTGATCATAAACCAGGTCTGAAAATTTCAAGGCAAGAGGGAGATAACCCAGGAATCTGTAATGACCACTACAGGGGCAGGGGATAGCGAGTAGAATAGTCTAATGGCTTGATGGGGATTTTAGGGAGGGATTGTGGTCTGGAAGTGGCACAAAAAAACAAGGAAAACAATAACTCCACCTCAAAGTCCAGTCATGCCATGAGTGTGGGAGAGAAAATACCATCATTTGAGAGGATTTTTAGGGCCTCAGCAGAAAAGCAGAGTTCACTTTGAACAGCGATTCTCAAAATGTAGTTCAGGGACCCTTAGGGAATCTCTAAGACCTGGCAGAGATCCACAGCTCAAAACTATTTTCATAGAAAACTAAGATATTATTCACCTTATCACTCTCATTCTCTCACAAGTCTGTAGTGGAATTTTCCAGAGTCTACGTAATGTATGATAATGCAACAACAGATTGAATGCAGAAGTCAGTAGAAGAATCCAACTGTCTTCTATTAAGCCAGGCATTAAAGAGATTTTCAGAAATGTAAAACAATACCATCCTTCCCAGTACTTTTGTTCTGTTTTGTTTTGGAAAATATAGTTATTTTCCATAAAATATGTGATGGTTTTACTATTATTTTAAACTGAATACATTAATTTTAATTTTTAATTTCAAATACAGTAAGTATTGATAGACACTACCCACGAAAATCAAAGCTCTTAGGGTCCCCAATCACTTTAAAGAGAGTCGTGAGACAAAAATGTTTGACAACCACTGAGTTAGTACATAAAGGCAAAGGAAATGCTCAGGAAAGAAGTCGAAGTGTAGGGGATTTTGCTGGTGATGGACTATGGGTTTCAGGGTGCACAAAAGGAGGTTTGGGAATGAGGAAGGGCTGGGAGACAGGTCAGAAACTGGGATGGATAAAAGCACGTGGTGATGATAATCTGGGGTGATTAAGACAACCTTAGGCCCTGATCTTTGAACTGATGGGCAGAGACAAGGATGCAGGGCATAAGGTGGCCAGTCCTGATGACTGCAGTGCAGAGAGTGATGCTGAGGCTGAGGCTGAGTGTTGTGAGGAAACCAGAAGCCAGCTTCTGCTGGGGGAGGATGAAGCTGGGAGACCAGTTATCTTATATAGCACGTGGGTTCCTTAGTTTGTATCCCAAAGGACACTTTGATTGGCACATCTCATCTACTCATGTGTCAGGTGCCCAGTCCCAGGACCAGTCACCTGATACAGGTCTAGGACAATCCACTGCCCCATTCTGCAGAGTCTGAGGTATGTGATGGTTCCTGGAAAAGGCGGTATGGTCTGGTCAGATGCCCCCCAAAGGCATCTACAATCACCAAGAAAGACGAAAATCTCTTGTGTTTTGGATAACTCTGGGAATTTATTTATTTATTTATTTATTTTTGAGATGGAGCCTCACTCTGTCACCCAGGCTGGAGTGCAGTGGTGAGATCTCAGCTCACCACACCTCTGCCTCCCAGGTTCAAGCGATTCTCCTGCCTCAGCCTCCCGAGTAGCTGGGACTACAGGCTCCTGCCACCATGCCTGGCTAATTGTTTTGTATTTTTGGTAGAGATGGGGTTTCACCATGTTGGCCAGGCTGGTCTTGAACTCCTGACCTCAGGTGATCCACCCGCCTTGGCCTCCCAAAATGCTGGGATTACAGGCATGAACCACCATGCCCAGCCTGCAACTCAGTATTTATTTGGAATGTTTCCTGTTCAATCCTGTCTTAAGATGCAGAGAGGGGATTATTTGCAATGGAGTGTCTTCCATTGATGCAAAAGGCCTTCTAGGAAATGAACTGGGCAATACAATGGCAGCATGTTTGATCATGGCAGTGGTGACTTCCCACTGTGACCAACTCCTTACCAGGACCTTACCATGACCTTGCTCTGTTGCTTGGACCTCATCTTGTCCCCCACCCCACCTGTTTCCTATGCTTCAACCATAGGGGCTTGCTTTCTCCTTCTAACTTGCCATGCTTCTTCCTGACTCAGGGCCTCTGTACTGACCATTTCTTCTGTTTGGAACATTCTTCTGTTTCCATAAATGCCTCTTTTCATCATTTAAGTCTCAATTTCAAAGTTATCTTCTATGGAAGATCATCCTTGATGACCCTATGTAAAGCATTTCTCTTCTTTTTTTCCAGTCACTCTAGTTTGTCCTCTTCGTAGCACACATCAGTACTTGAGATGATCTCCTTTATGCATTTGTTTCCATGTGTAATGTTTGTCTTCTGCTCTTTGGTGTTAGAAACCTTGTCTTTCTTGTTCACCATTACATCACTGGTGCTTGACACCAATAAGTGGCCAGCCAGTATTTGTTGACCAAATGACTGACTTAGGATTGTGGGAAGGAATAACTGAAATCCTTGAAAGTTATCCAAGAGGCCGGGCGAGGTGGCTCACGCCTGTAATCCCAGCACTTTGGGAGGCCAACGCGGGCAAATCACAAGGTCAGGAGTTTGAGACCAGCCTGGCCAACCTGGTGAAACCCCATCTCTACTAAAAATACAAAAAATTAGCTGGGTGTGGTGGCAGGCACCTGTAATCCCAGCTGCTTGGGAGGCTGAGGCAGGAGAATCACTTGAACCCCGGAGGTGGAGGTTGCAGTGAGGCAAGATCACGCCACTGCACTCCAGCCTGGGCAACAGTGGGAGACTCCATCTCAAAAAAAAAAACAAACAAAAGAAAGCAAACAAAAAAAACAAAACAAGAAGAAAATTATCCAAGAAAAATTCAAGTAGGATCACCAAATTTCTTTTTTCCCTGTTAAGATTTGCTTATTCAAATTATTCTCAGACAGTCAGATTTAATTCACTACGAGCCACTTTAGAATGGAGGGCAGACACTCCCCAATACCAAAAGACAGAAACGATGATAAAACCCAACATACCAGAAATACCCCATTGCTAACAAGAGAAGGATGAAAGGGACTAAAATAATTATTTTGCTTATGTCATCCAAAATTCTCCCAAAAAGCAGACTTCAGGGTTCTCAATTTTTCTACTGTGGAAGTTACAAGGAAGGCAGAAGGAGGGCAAACTTTTATCATTTGTGTGCTAAATCTCCATGCTGTACCAAAGGTCACTGATTTTACACCCTGGTGTTAGATCAGATGCTGAGCATATTTCTCAAATGGTCCCATTTTTATGGATAGTATAGTGCTGTGGTGGTATATTGAGTGCTTACGCAAGTTTTATATCTAGATTGGTATTTATCATGAGTAACTACATTAACTCATTTTATTACCTGAGCTCTGAGGACCTGAAAAACTGTGTGTTCTTATGTTGCACACGGCTGGGAGATCTACTTGTGCTCCTCACAAGTTGTGCTAGGCATTAACAAAGGATCTTGGATTATCAGGGCCTCCTTTTTTCCATCTACAAAAGGAGAAAACTTATGGGAGGATATATGTTTTTCTTCATTGGAATACTTTTATATCATAGTATGAGACACTAGGGTTATTGTGGAGGGAGATCAAACTTCAAACACCTAAACGTGGCAGACATTTGTTTCACACCTATTGTATCTCAGACCCCTAAGGCATTAAATGTGATAATGTGGGCTGGGCATGGTGGTTTAGGTCTGTAATCCCAGCGCTTTGGGAGGCAGAGGTGGGCGGATCACCCGAGGTCAACGGTTGGAGACCAGCCTGGCCAACATGGTGAAATCCCGTCTCTACTAAAAAAACAAAATTAGCTGTGTGTGGTGGTGCACGCCTGTAATCCCAGCCACTTGGGAGGCTGAGGCAGGACAGTCACTTGAACCCAGGAGGCAGAATTTGCAGGGAGCCAAGATCGTGCCACTGCACTCCAGCCTGGGTGACAGAGAGAGATTCCATCTCAAAAAAATAAAAAAAAATAATAATAAAATGAATAAATAAATGCGATAATGCGTAAATTGAGTAATTTTCATTATTATTCAGAGATGGAAGCAGTTAATCAGAGGAAGAGAGTGTGGACAGAGATCTCTGTCCTGTCCTTTTTTGCCTGTGTATAACTTCAAACAAGTCACCTAACCCTGCCTGAACTTGGTCTGGTTAGGCTCTGTGCGGGGTAGAAATGAGTAATGGGAATGGGGTGGGCAGGCATTGTCATGGGAACAAAGCAAAAGTAGAACAACGGACCTCTGGAAGAACAGAATCTGAAAGGTGGTTTTGATCACAAGGCAGCCTCTCAGGGAGGGCCTCTGCTTCTCCTGGTCTTGATGTCCAGTTGTCTTCTACTGCTTCCTTTATCTCAATAGTGTTCAAATTATGTGGTTCCAAGCAAGGTTTTCTTTGTAAAATGGTTTGAACCCATGCCATTCTATTGCATAATTTCTGCTTGCTCATAGCTCTGGCCCCTTCTAACTATGTGTCCGCATCCCTTGCAAGCTGCATTCAGAGTGGCAGGAAAATGGGCGATCAGACTGGTAACAAGAGAAGCAGGGAGTGGCTGGGATTGTGGCAAACTGGAAACTGCACGTTCTCCCTAAAAGGGAGAAAAAGCACTGCAGAACTAGCCAATTACAGAGTGCAGGTCTGCAGCAAGAATGATGCCAGGTCCCCTAGGTTTTTCAAGGCAAGCTGAAAAATCTGTATTTTTGCATGACGTTTTCTAATTTTAAAATATTGGCAAGTAGTTCAAACAATGTTGACCTCATAAGGTTCAAACAATACAATCTAATATAGAACATTTAACGAGCCCACAGCCAGTGTGCAGCTTTTAGAATCTAGAGTTCAGATAAAGTCACAAACTTCAGCTTTTGCGCTGCCTAATAGTTGTGTGTGTGTGTGTGTGTGTGTGTGTGTGTTCACATTCCTGAAATGTAATCTTACTGGTGAAGTGTACTTTTTGGGGCCAAAATTTTCACAGCACAAATCTATGGATTGGATGCACCTGGGTTAGGTGCCCACCCTTAGTCTTAAAGGGGGCTGCCTCAGGGATAGCTACTCTTTCAACAGGAGCCTTGATTGGACTGACTTCCATTTCAGAGGTTGTGGACATGGCAAGCTGTGTATATATCTAATAAAGACCTAGAATTTCCTCCTCATAAATTAATGTTTAACTAGAATGACCAACACTGGTTTCTCCTATGAAGATTCTGTTTCTTAATAAGAAAAAGCAAAGTCCCATTGACATTTAGGTAGAATTTTGGTTAGAATTTGGCTGGTGACAAGCATCATATATTGGCATTAATGGTCCTTAAGGAGAAGCTCTGATTTCCATGGAAATACTGACTACTTCTCCTCTTAAGAAAATTCTGGCTTGGCGTGGTGGCTGTGATCCCAGTGCTTTGGGAGGCTGAGGCAAAGGCTCAGTTGAGCCCAGAAATTTGAGGCTATGGTGAGCTATGATTAAGACACTGCAGTCCAGCCTAGGCGAGAGAGCAAGACTCTGTTTTAAAAAAAAAAAAAAAAGAAAGAAAAAATATCTGCTTACAAAATGAGAAACTCTTAGGGTTAGAAAAGAATTTAACCTCTTTAAACTTCCCTTTCAGTCCTTCAATACTTTTTTATGGCATGCTCGTATGTTGTGAATACTTCTCTTTACCAGGAAGTACGCTTCTCCCAGAGGAGACTCTTTCATCTTTAGACAGGCCTCATGATTAACCTTTTTTTTCTTATTGCACAATGCCCTGCCCACCATAGGCAATCAGTACAGCATACGCTAAATAAGTTCATTTCTATGTCATTTGCTGAGTACATACTATGTGCCAGACACTATTCTAGAAACTTGGGCAATATCAGTGAATTAAAAACATCAGATTTGTTTAACTGAACCGATCCCTTATAGAGCTGATGTTCTACCCTGAAAGTAGGAGGTGGTAAAAGACAGATAATAATTTTTTCCTCCTTCCTTCCTTCCTTCCTTCCTTCCTTCCTTCCTTCCTTCCTTCCTTCCTTCCTTCCTCTCTCTCTCTCTCTCTTTCTTTCTTTGTCTTGCTCTGTCTCCCAGGCTGGAGTGCAGTGCTCACTATATCCTCCACCTCCCAGGTTCAAGCAATTCTCTGCCTCAGTCTCCAGAGTACTTGGGATTACAGGCACCCGCCACCATGCCCGGCTAATTTTTGTATTTTTAGTAGAGATGGGGTTTCGCTATGTTGGCCAGGCTGGTCTTGAACTCCTGACCTCGTGATCTATCCGCCTCAGCCTCCCAAAGTGCTGGGATTACAGGCGTGAGCCACCACACCCGGCCAAAATTTTTTTCTTAAAGTAAACCATACAATGTGTTACAAGGTTATAGATGCTATTAAAAAAAAAAAGCAGAGTTGAATGAGGGAGACTGGGAGGGAGGGGCGAATTACAACTTTAAATAGGTGGAATAGGGTAGGTCTTATTGAAATAAAACTTGAAGGAGATTGAGAGAGTTAGCAATGTAGAATGGATGTTCCCAAACTGATCTCCCTGCAGCCGGGTAGAACTAGTTCCCTTTCCACTTCCCAGGCCCTAGGGATAATGATAGGAAAAATAATAGCTTAATATCCTTTGAATCCCAGCAGGGATTCTAAACACTTTTTCTGTATGAATTCACTAAATCCTCATAGCCACCCTAAGACAGAGCTACTACTTTTATCCCCATTTTCATATGAGTAAACTGAGGCACAGCAAAGTTAAGTAACTTGGCTAATAACCAGAGTATGGGAAGAAGAGGAGCTGCTGTGGAGACCTTGCCATTTTGGCTCCAGGCTTTGGCTCTTAATCCCTTAGACGAGCCTCTTTTAAGTCTCCTCCCTGCTCATTGTCCTCTCAGTTTCTTGCCAGGCACGGTGGCTTATGCCTATAATCCCAGCTCTTTGGGAGGCCGAGACATGTGGATCACTTGAGGTCAGGAGTTCTACACCAGCCTGGCCAACATGGTGAAACCCTATCTCTACTAAAAATACAATAATTAGCCGGGTATGGTGGTGCATGCCTGTAATCCCAGCTACTCGGGAGGCTGAAGCATGAGAATTCCTTGAACCCGGGGAGGTGGAGGTTGCAGGGAGCCGAGATCATGCCACTGCACTCCAGCCTGGATGACAGAGGGGAAACTGTCTCAAAAAAAAAAAAAAAGATTTTGTTTCCCAGGCATGTGTCCCATGCCCAGTCTCTTTCATTGTGTGTGATTCCTGGGATGAAATTTAAAGCCCTTCATCATTCTAGGGCTTCTGTTGAGGATCTTTTAGCTTTACCTAATATCGCAGGACAAATGAGACACCCAGAACTTCTTCAACCCGCTCTCATGCCCACAACCACCGTAACACATAGGTTTTGTAGGGTCGCAATGACCAAATCAAAAAATGAAAATGAGTCTTGCTCAGTTTTGAGATAAAAGGACATGCACATCTTTTTCTTCAGCAAATGTCACTGTGGTTTCAAAGCCTATGTGTGATGTGCGATCGGGCAGCATTTTTAAAGTATTTCCTGCTCAACCATAGGGTGAAATGATGCAGGTAGTGAGTCCTGCAAACAGCTGCACTAAATTCTTAACACCTGCAAAAAACAACAAGAACAACAACAAAACAAAACCCAACAGTTTTCAAAATAATTATGCATTATTTTTAATTTTTGGCTTGTTGATTTTCTGTGGTTTCAAACTCTGAAGGACCCTCTAATTCATGAAACCTGCAGTTAGAAAATGAGTTTGGGAGCTTTAAAAGAATTTGCAAACAAGGGAAAGATTTCACTTGCATTATATTTTCATCAATGCACTTAAAACAACTTCTGGAATCGCCAGAGTTCCAGGCTCCACTCCTCTCTTCAGCTCCGCCCTGCTCCTTTTTAAGTGAGCCCCAGAATCACCTCTTGGCTTGGCAGTTTCCCATTGCGGGGCAGCTGGGCCGGGGGCGGGGGTCGGCTGCAGATCTCCCGTTGTGTGAGAGAAACGCAAGCACGGAGCTCCCTTGACCTGCTGCATCCTCCTCGGCAATTTTTTTTTTTTAAGTCAAAAAGCTTGGATTTCCTGAAATTGTTGAACTGGATGTAAGTGCAGGGCCCCCCTCTCCGCTCTCCCCAGCAGGGTGAGAGTTGCTGAAGGGGAGGAGGAGTGAGATGGGGTGAAGTGAGTTGGGGGACATTGGAGAGACACTAAAGCTAGGTGCCCGGGACAGGAAAAGTGGGAGGAGAAGGAGGAAGAGGGGAGGAGGGGGAGAAGGGGGAGGAGGAGGAAGAGGAGGAGGAGGAGGAGGAGGAGGAGGAGGCGGCCGTAAGATGAGAGAGGAGGGAAACGTGTCACCAGCCCGGCTGTGGGAGCTCCGCGGCCGAAGCGTTTGTTGACTCGCGCTGGAGAGGAACCGAGGCTGGACGGGACCCCATCTGAGGGCAGAGCTGGGGGAGGAGGGAGGGACGGAGGGAGGGAGAGCTGGGCAGAGCGCGACGGGGAGAACCATCCAGGTCGCTCATTTCTCTCCGGTGAGAAAACTTCCTCGGGAAGACCGGAAACTTTTTCCTAGGCGCGCGGAGTCTGGGGCGGAGGCGAGCGGCGGGTGTGCGCGACTCGGGGTGATTCACGCCGGGGACCCCAAGGAGGTGAGTGGTGGGTGGGGGGCGTCTCTGGGAGGGGCCGGAGTCATAGGCTCAGCAACCGCGCAGGATTGAGCGAAAATTACCGCGCGCTAATCTGACGGGGCGCGGCGTGGCGGGGGTAGGAGCTAGGGAAAAGTGTCACGTTTGGGGGGGCAACCAGGTGGGAACTCCTGCATGGTTAAGGATCCTCCGATCGGACGCTGCAGGCAGGCGTAGGGGATCTTACTCGAGACCACCATGGTGGGGAGGTGGGCAGGCCACGCTCCCGGTCTGCTCTTTAGGGTGGTTGAAGTACCGCCGTGAGGTGGGATGCGGATGCTGGTGATCATGGGACCTAGGCTGAGCCGGGAGGTCGAAAAAGAAAGTCGGCTTGTTTGACTCTCTCGTTCTCCCTCTGGGGGGCAAATCTAAAGAGCTGACCCCGCTTAAGCACGGGAGATTTCGCGCCTGCAGCAGCCTTTTCCCGGCGGTCCCCCTTTTTCTGGAGGGAGGCGTGGGAGAGAAGGGCAGGGCAGGGAGCCACTTTGTCCCGTGCGCTGCTGCACGCGCGCGCTCTGCGGACTAGGGTGGGCCAGGGCCCAGCCAGTGGGGATCCCGCCGGGACGGGCTGTGAGCAAGCCCTGGGACGGCCCGGCTGCGGACCCCGCGCTGGGAGTCCGCAGTATCCCCCTTCCGTTTTATTTCTCCCGCCTGCCTTCCTTTCGGCGAGGCTTTCCTCTGCGCGCTTACTGTGCGCGCATGCCGGGCTCGCTGCACGCAGGGGGCGCTCTAGGGGCCCCGCCCGGGCAGCTGGGACCCTGCCTGCCCAACCCTCCGGCCCATTTTCCTTGAGGCCGCCGCCCGGGGTGGGACCAGGCTGTGTGCTTGCTAACTGTGCTTCAGGAATCCGCTCTGGGATGCCTTCCTGTCTGGCAAAAGGGGTTACCCCCAGTTCTACCCAGTCCCTGTCCTCGGTCACATGCTGCCGCCGCCTCTTCCCCCGCGGTGCCGGGAGCCCGCGTTTTGTTTGTCAGCAGTTAGGCGGTGAGTATTTATAGACGCCACGGCAGTCCTGCGGTGCGCAAGGTTTCAATTACTGCGATGCGCCCCACAAGACGAAAGGTTCACGCGCTGCGTCTGAGCTGCACGTCTGCCCCGGAGACCCGCGTGGAAAAAGCTCTGGGCTGGAATCTCCGGGCTTCCCTGCTTGGGCAGAATTCTGGACCTGTTGCCCAGACGACACGTGCACATTCAGATGACCCATGCTAAGGACCAAAGGGATGCCACCGGCCCAATGTACTGCCTTCATCCCCCACCATCCTCAAGGGACCCTTGCTGATCAAGCCCGGGAGACTACCCTTTTTGACCTCTCTTTGGTGATCCTGACCACCGTAGAAATTTGCAGTCATGACATTTCATTGCCCTACATACTGCAAAATGTCAAAGTGCTGAGCTGTGGTAAATTGCTCTGGGGTGGAAGGCGCTGTTACTGACAACACGAAGCAGCTAGCGGGTCAGGAGGGGAAATGGAGCTTGCAGAAACTAATTTAGCCACATTTAAAATTTAGCCCCTGGTAAGGTTCCCAGTATGACTGACGAAGGTGCAGGGCTCCTGTCTGTGGAACCTGGCTGGTTAGTCTTCTCTGGTTGCAGCCCTAGAATCAGGATCAAGGGTGCTGTTTAGAGCGGTTTCTGTAGCATGTAGCCTTTCAGATAAGGGAAGTGATGCTTGGTCAATCCACAAAGTTGTCTTCAGTTTTTCCAACTGCAACCATTGTTCTTTGAGTATGTTACTGATGCTTCTAACAACTGGAACCACTAATATGTAAAAGAAGAAAGGCACTAGAAATAAGAAAGTCTAACTAGCTTATTTCTCAAAGGCTTAGTTTAGACTACTTTGTTTCTCAAGGGTGGGACCTCATTTCTTTCAGGTCCAGAGGGCCATGGATATATATTTATTTCTGTGGGTGAAATTTCAATAATGTTCTGTCTTAGAACATTACAAATATGTGCCACTTGTTTTAAAAAGGGGAAAGGTGCAAATGCCTCTTGAGGTCTTAATGATGTCTTAAACTTTGCACTGAGAGACTTTGATAATATTATATACTCCTCATGCAAACAATGATATAGGTACTATTATATCCCTATCATATAGATGAGCCCACTGAGGCTTGGAGAATTTAAGTAATTTGTCTAAAGCCATACACACAGGGATGGAGCTGAGAATGGATTACAGATTTGTTACTCCAGACTCATAGTCTGGACATGTCTTTCCCTTCAATTCTCCATTGTTGATTAGCTCACGTTATAGTTGATTAGATGGATGGCTTTTTATTTATTTTCAAAATTTCACAGAATGTTACAAATTGGCTCAGTTATTGGGGAAAAAAGCCCTAATCTTGTCTTTAGAAAACTGTTATATTGGTTATCTGAAAATCTCTTGCTGATAGTCCAGACCTAAATCATAATCCTCACTTTGCTCCTTGACTTAATGTATCTTCAGCATTAAAGCCATTTATCTGTAGAAAATTGAATTCAGTAAGGACTTTGTGGATTACTTAATTTTTTCAGATTTCTCCATACTAATGATTTGTAGGTATGCATGTGTCTGTTTTCCTGTGGCTGTTCCTTTTGTACAAGGTAAAATATGCTGAAATCTCTCTTAAATTGCAGCCTTTTTCCTTTTCATTCTTTTTGCAGAGCTAGACCCAATACAGAATTGATTTGAAAAACAGTGTGTGAGTTCCTCTGAAAGATCCTTACAATGTCTAATGTTCATCATTAAAGGTTTGTTCTCAAGAGTTGCCTCTCTGTATGTAAAATGTAAATACATGTTAAAGGCAATGCTTGTAGAAATGACCCTTTGTTAACAAGTCAGTGTGAATTAATATTTTAGTTGCTGAAATATAGGAATAAAATATTTTGTGGATTTTGTACAGAATATTATGGGGTTTGGAATTGGGGAACAAAGAGAGCGGTACCCTGATAAGCAGAAAGCACTGTTTTACAAGAGAAGATTTCACATGGAGCCAAGGAGGGGGATGGATGGCAGTGATGGGGCATCAGAGGTGAATTTGAGTTAATTCACATTTTTGTCAGTACCTGGGGATCCAAGATTTACTTTGAAACTTGTACAGTTAAAACAAATGAGCTGACTTATTTATTGGGCAACTTCTGTGAGTCAGGTATAGCTATGGTAATGGTATTTGCGCCTCCCAACAACTCAGGTAGGAAGGTATTATTTTCTCTATTTTCAGATGAGAAAACAGAGGCTCAGAGAGGGTTGTTAATTTCCCAGTGTCACACAGCCATGAACTCAAGCGTCTTGCTCTTTTCAGTACATTTTGATATCTACCCTTGAAGGCCTTCCATGGAGAACCCAGGGTCCCAAGTTCTCAAGAAAATCCTAGTGGTTCACATGGAAGTTTCTGGATCAGAAGTCAAGGCCAGAGCTATTCAGGGACTCTAAAATGAGGAGACAGGAGGTGGGTGAACAATGAAGCCTGAAGGGATAGTCTGGATAATTCTGACAGTAGTGATGCCACAGAAGAAGGAAAGTCAGGCGCTGTGGATATTGTGAATATAGAGAATTACTAGCATTGGCCTGGGCGAGGATGGCTGTCGCATTGCAGAACACACTAGATGAGGTTCCCAGAAGGGAAGAGTGGTGAAGTGTCTCCACCTCCCTCCCGATGCCTTCTGCTGCCCGGTGTTGGCTTTATAGTCAATATAAATTAGGGAGCCTGTGGGACCTGTTTGCATTTTAATTAGACTTGGCCCTTTGAGGTTCCAGTCACTCAGTCTCCCTCTTTAAATATTCTTTTTTTATGCTTTGCCAGTTTATGGCCTTTGTAGATTAATCCTCGGATTTCATGTACGGGAGAGAGAAAGAGAGAAAAAAAGCAAAGGTTAGTGATTACCTAAATTGGATTAAGTTCTGTCTAGCAGCATTTAAAGAAATGCCTCTTGCTCCCTAATTACCATCAACTAAGAATTTAAACGGTCTATTAAATTTAAGCTGACTTTTTTAAAAAACTCCCTGAAATTTCCAGCTGTAACATATTCTGAGATTTTAGAGGTTTTTATATATTCTTCAAATGTGTAGAGGACATTCTCTGCTTTCCCCCCCTTTTAAAAAATATTGCATTTCTGGAGCAGGATAATAAATGACATCACTATATACTAACTTCGTTAAAAAGCAGAAGCTCACAGCTAGGCTCAGCTAGAAGGGTTTGTGGAGAGCAGTAGAAATCCATCTGACCGTGGCCTACGGGAAGACCTTGTAAACATCTACCCCCTCCAAACAACCTGTCATTAATTATTTGTTCAATTTATTTAGCATAGAATTATATGTTACATAAAATTATGTATTTACTCGTGTATTAAACTTGCAAAGCTTTCATTCTTCTTTTTCTCCCCTCAATTTTGAGGTGCGAATATGTTTCCCTCACCCACACATCAATATTCTGGTTTCACTTTAGCTGGTTACCAAATGCCGGCAACACTTCCACTTTACCGTTCTCTCCTTACATTACCTATTACAGAACTTTCTCCAACTTTGCTGGTTCTTTTTGACACAGGATGTGTCCTGTATTTTGTTGATGGCATCTTTGGCAGCAGTTGGGTTTCCAGCAAATACTAGGATTAAGGGACTGCAATGGACTCAGCTGTTTAGGAACTGGAGTATATGTTAGCTTAAGTTGAGCCTGGAAGAATAGCTGAAAGGATTTGTTTTTATCTTTTTCCCAAGGACAGGGGGCAGGGTAGGGGTGGGTGGGGAGGGGGAGAAAAATCTACCATTGGCTCTGATGTGTGTCTGTATCAGACTTAACTAAGCTGCCTCAAACCCTGTCACAACCTGCTTGTGACCTCAGCCACATAAATCCTTGGTGTAAACCCTTTTATGCTGCCATTTAATTCTAAATACTTCTCTGGAACTGGCTCAATATCATTCCCCAGATGTCTTTGAGGAGACCACATCGACTGCTGCCATCATTTTGGAGAACTGTTTCATCATGCTAGCTCCCGGACACCACCACTATGGAAGCAGTATGGCCACTTTCCTTGTAAAACATCTCGCAGGCTGAATTCTTGGGTAAACATGGTACTCTTTTGTGGTGTTTGGGATAATTTTTTTTTAAATTATTCACCAACAGGACAATAGATTCCTTTCAGGCCTCAAAAAAGCTCCCCACCAGCCGGGCGCGGTGGCTCACATCTGTAATCCCAGCACTTTGGGAGGCCGAGGCGGGTGGATCATGAGGTCAGGAGATCGAGACCATCCTGACCAGCATGGTGAAACCCCATCTCTACTAAAAATACAAAAAATGAGCCGGGCATGGTGGCGTGTGCCTGTAGTCCCAGCTACTCGGGAGGCTGAGGCAGGAGAATTGCTTGAAGCCGGGAGGCAGAGGCTGCAGTGAGCGGAGATCGCGCCACTTCACTCCAGCCTGGGTGACAGAGTGAGACTCCGTCTCAAACAAAAGAAAACCTCCCCACCAAGGTTGGTATCAACTTTTCAGAGAGGCAGGGTTGTTGAATGAGCCCTCATTTTGGTCCTAACGGGCATCATGGAGATAACACAGGTTGAGGAATTGAGATCTGGAATCTGATCTCAGCTCTGCCATAAGCAAGCTGTATGACCATGGTGAGTTGCTCAGTTATTCTGGGCCTCAGTTTCCCTATTTACAAAGTAATGACTTTGGCCTACCACTAAGCTTCCATTCTGTTCTAAAATTCCTTGATGGCCAAGGAAGCATGGTCTAGAGCTGTGCTTCTGAAAGCGCACATGCATCACCTGGAGATCCTGTTAAACCACAGAATCCGATTCAGTAGGTCTGGGCTGGTGCCAGAATGTCTAAGAAGCTCCCAGGCAATGTTGATTCTGTTGATTCCCAGACTACAATGCGGGTAGCAGGGCACTAGAGCCTTGGTCAGGGCTTCCCCACCTTGGCCCTATTGATGGTTTTGGCGGATAATTCTTTGTGGTGGGGGCTGTCCTGTGCATAGTAGGATTTTTGGCAGCATCCTTGGCCTCTACCCATTAGATGCCCATGGCATCCTCCACTCTCATAGTTATGACTATCAAAAAGTGTCTCCAGGCAGTGGGACAAAATCGCCCCTAGTTGAGGACATTGGTCTAGACCAGTGTTATCAAGCCTAGTTGTACATCAGAATCACTTGGAAGATATCTGGGAAGTACAAATTTAGGTATCTTGGGCCCAGTGAATGAAAATGACTAGGGGAGGGCCCAGGAATCTATATTCCTTAAAAATAAGGTGATAGAGATGGCCTGGAATTCTTCTCTTTGACAGTCTGAAAAAGTACAAGATCTACACCTGAGTTCTGGTGTTATCCCTCCATAGCTATGGGACCACACAGGCAAGTTGCTTAAATGCTCTGAACCAGAAACTCTCCACTTCTAAAATAGGAATAATAATAGTGTCTACCTCCTAGGATTGTTGGGGGCCAAGTGGGATAACATGAGGAAGAGCCTTAGGAACTATAAAGTGCTGTGCAGATGTTAGTGGCAAATGTTATACCACAGGCCTCTGGAGTTTAATTTTTTTGGTTCAATTACTTTATTTATTTTTCCCAGGGCTGTATTTCTTTTTCTTGAGGCTTAGCTCTGTAACCTTCACAATATCTCTTTTCTTTGGCCCTCACAGTCAACAGCTGTGTACATTTGTCCCCACTCAGTCCCATGCCAGTCTCAAACTGGCAGCCCGTGGGCCAAACTTTGGCATCAGACATGTACTGTTTGGCTTGCATTGTATTTTGGGGAAAAGAAGAAAACAAGATGATTTTCTCCAGTATTTAAAAGTTGGGAGAGTTGACATCTGAACACAGGTTTTCAGCTTTTCTGTAATAAACCAAAAGGAGTCTGAGGACACTCTTTAGTTTGCCACATTCCCCACCTGACCCGCTAATCTTGTTCACGTTCTCTGCTTCGGTCTGCTGTAAGCATTGTTTCCCATCCCAGCATTAGGCTTTCCTGTCTTTTTCTTTCTTTTCCTTTTTTTTTTTTTTTTTTGAGATGGAGTCTCGCTCTGTCACCCAGGCTGGAGTGCAATGGTGTGATCACGGATCACTGCAATCACTGCCTCCCGGGTTCAAGTGATTCTCCTGCCTCAGCCTCCCCAGTAGCTGGAATTACAGGCGCCTGCCACCACGCCCAGCTAATTTTTGTATCTTTAGTAGAGATGAGGTTTCACCAGGTTGGCCAGGCTGGTCTCAAACTCCTGACCTCAGGTGATCTGCCCGCCTCGGCCTCCCCTGTCTTTTTCTTTAATCATGACCAATTACTATTCCCTTTTATTATTATATTATTGTAGGAGCCATATCTGGCTCATCTTTGTGGCAAGAGTAGTAGGTACTCCCTAGATATTTGTTGAAATGTGATATTTTCATCCTACACCTGGTCTTTCATAGTTAACACCTTGGATACACCTTGAACTTTTAAAGCTTCTTGCCTATGAAAACTTGTTCTTCCTTCTCAAAATTTCCTTTCCAGTCTCCAGGCCCCATATTCTTTAGTGTTATGGGCAAGGAAGTAGAGAACCTGTAGTTTTCAGTTGACCTTTCATTAGCTTTGCTTCGTAACTCCAGAATGTGAGTTAACCTTTCTGCCTCAATCTTGTCTCAGTTGTCCATCTTCAATTACAGCCCTTGGTGTCTGCATTTATAGTATTACTTTTGGATATTTCCTTAGAAACCCTGAGCTCCCTGGGAGAAGATGATTTATTCTTCTTTGCCCCCTGTAACTTCCTTTACTCAGATCCTGGCATCCAGTGGACACTCTAATGTTTGGTTGAGTTAAATGGACTTGAATTGGAATCATTACCTCCATGAAATGATCATATGTGGATATTTCCATCAGTTTTCTGAGCCTCTATTCAATGCCTGTTATACCTGGCTATACTACCTGAGAAGAAATTTCCCTTCCCTTCATCTCTTTTTCTCCTCTTTTCTTTTTCTCTCTTCTTTCTTTCTTTCTTTCTTTCTTTTTTGGAGATAGTGTCTCACTTTGTCACACAGACTGGAGTGCAGTGGCATGATTGTAGCTCACTGCAGCCTTGAACTCCTGGGCTCAAGGGATCCTCCTGCCTCAGCCTCCTGAGTAGGTAGGACTACAGGCATGTACCACCATGCCTGGCTTTTTTTTTTTTTTTTTAGAGTTGGGATCTGGCTAGATTGCCCAGGCTGGTCTCAAACTCCTGGCCTAAAGGGATTCTCCCACTTTGGCCTCCTAAATTGCTGGGATTATAGGCATGAGGCACTGCACCCAGCCTTATCTCCTTTTCTTATGAAAAAACCATTTTATCTTATTTCTGCCATGAGAGAGTAGAGCTAATTTTTTAAAGTAAGTTGCACATTTTAATCTAGAGCACATTTTCCCACACTTAAAACTCTTGTTGGCTGCCAGACTGTAGCTTTTGACTACTCTTTCACTCACCAGGGTTTTGTATACGTTACATGTCAGAAATGTAATTGCTCACTCACATAATGGTC
Organism: Homo sapiens; assembly: GCF_000001405.40. Lineage (NCBI taxonomy): Eukaryota > Metazoa > Chordata > Mammalia > Primates > Hominidae > Homo > Homo sapiens. The sequence goes on from NC_000011.10 coordinate 36,385,192, forward strand.
AGTCTTAGCTACTGTTTGTGTCTAGACTTTTTGGCTTACCATCTGGTAGGCGCTGCAGAATCACTCTGGATGACATTTGGGGGCCACACCCAGACAATATGCACTCCAAGAAACTTGATACTTAAAGTAGGCTTATAGATGAGTAAATAAGATGTGTGGTTATTTCCCACAGCTTTGTTTAACTTGTATCACAGAAGGGGATTTTTCTGGTGATTATACAGTGGCTTGCAGGCCAAGGTGATGATGATGTGATGATATAATTACTTCTAGGTGCATCTAAATTGTCAGCTTTCTGAATCCTGTGGACACTTAGTGAACACCGTTAAGCAGAGATAAACACTTGAGCGTGTATCCTGTTTGCCCTAATATTTATTGTTGTGCAAATTTGGACTCTCAGACTCTTCTCTCTGCACTCGGTTTCCAGTAGCGCCTGAGAAAGTTGTCTCTTGCTTCCTGTTGAGCCCTTTCCATAGTTCACAGTTGACCCTTAACATTTTCTTGTCTGTGAGAGTCAGTGTTCATTCTTTGGCCGGCTTTTGTCTCCTAAGAGTTGCAAAGATTGGTCCTTAATAGAAACAATTGTGCTATGCTATGTAGCAGGCACTTCTGCTCTGCTATGTCTGTAGGCTCCACTGACCAGCAAACAGACTCAGGATTGCTCACCCATGTGGTCCAGGTCTACGTCCCCGTGGACAATAATGCTTAGGTGGACCCAAGTTTAGTCAGCAGCAAAGAAAATTATTCTGATCTCTCAGAAATGGGAAGGCTACTCTTCCTGGTGGCTTGGAAGTGCACCTTTCATTCCATCATTTAAAAATATTTGGGCAGGCATGGTGGCTCACACCTGTAATCCCAATATTTTGAGAGGCCGCAATGGAAGGATCACTTGAGGCCAGGAGTTCAAGACTAGTCTGGGCAACACAGCAAGACCTGTCTCTACAAAAAATTAGCTGAGTGTGGTGGTACACACCTGTAGTCCTAGCTACTCAGGAGGCTGAGGTGGGAGGATTGCTTGAGCCAGGAGGTCAAGGCTGCAGTGGGCTGTGATTGTGCCACCATACTCCAGCCTGGGTGACAGAGCGAGACCTTGTCTTAGAAAAAAAAAGTAAAACTAATTAAAAATACGTTAAAAATAAATAAAATAAAAATATTTATTGGGTACCTTTTATGTGCTCAGTACTATGCTAGGCACCAGGATACAATAGTGAACAAGACGGGCAAGATTTTTGCCTTTAAGGAGCTTCCATTCTGTCAGGGCTCATCAGACACTGAACAAGTAAACAAACACAACAACTGCAGCCTGGTCTGTGGGTGCCACTAGGAAACAGAGACTCCTTGCTTGAGGGGCAGAGTCCTCTTGCTCTAAGGTAAGAAGCTATGGGTGATGTTTATGCAGGGAAGAAATGGGTGGCGTTTAATCTCTCGGCTCTGTGTGTGGCACACACTTGCATTGTTTAAGACAGGGGTCAGGAGTTCAGGCTCTGGAATCACACAGGATTTGCCTCTTGGTTCCTCTTCCTAGTCTTCTGCCTTTGGGCAAGTGAATCCCTATGCTTCGGTTTCTTCATCTGCAAAATGAGCCTAATGAAACCTACCTCCTTGGTTTAGAGTAGAAATTAACTGAGGGAATAGATGCAAATGGAGGCTTGACACAGTCCTGACCATCATGGCCAGCCTCTGATGATAGTTAATATTATTCTAATCAGCAGTCATAATGGTAATAAAATAGTCATGGTTGACAATTGATTTGACCAAATGGCCCCACCACTTTTGAAAATCTGCTTGTGACCTGGTTTCCATCCAATGGGCTGGCGCAGGGGCAGGCGTGGGGTCCAGATCTAGTCTCCTATGCTGGCTTGGAGGGTTCTGCCTTCTGTGTGTTTCCTTTAGCAGTACCTTGGGTGCTGCTGGCTTACCCTGTATCTGGGTGTGTATATAATACATAGGGGAGTATGTCATACATAAGACTTCATAGAGAAATCGGTGATGGGCTGCATGTTCTCATTCATAGGTGGGAATTGAACAATGAGAACACTTGGACACAGGGTGGGGAACACCACACACCGGGGCCTGTCGTGGAGTGTGGGGAGGAGGAAGGATAGCATTAGGAGATGTACCTAATGTAAACGATGAGTTAATGGGTGTAGCACACCAACATGGCACATGTATACATATGTAACAAACCTGCACGTTGTGCACATGTACCCTAGAACTTAAAGTATAAAAAAAAAGAAATCGGTGATGGGCTGACAGTGAGATAAGACAGCTGCCAAGTTAAGAGGCTGGTGAATTAGATGATGTGGTAGGTGGGAGTTCAAACATGGCTGAGGGATGGTTCTGAGTTTGTATTGTGTTAGGGTATCAGCCCCTGCCTCCTCTCTCAAAGGTTCTCAGTGTGTATGGCTCCCAGGGTAGGGGCTGAATGCACAGCCAGAGATGGTGAAAGATCATCGTGGCCATCAGCTGGGCCAAACCATTAATTGAATGGTGAGTCAGCAGACCCAGAGAAGTGAAGTGACTTGCCCAAGGCCACAGGGACTGATTAGTGCAGGCTTACCTTATACCTGGCTTAGGCTCCACATAAAAGGTCTGAGAAGGCTGGAGGCTGTAGCTGTGATGGGGTAGAATAAAGGTCACAAACCTACATGTTTGGCCTTCAAAGTGCTGGTTGGCCTGGTGAATTAGTTGCCAACACTTACAAATCCAGTGATTTCACATTTCTAAAAATTTGGATTTTTGGACTTTCTTGGGAAAAATCAGATCTGGCAAAACCAGGCTTATATCCTAAGATGGCAAACACCAGATCGGATTGAGTAATGGCTGCCTCCTTTAGCCAGGGCAGGTGCTGGTAGTAAAGCAAGCTTACTGTCCACACCTGCCTCACTCCCTAAACTGGTCCCAGCCTGGCCCTTTCGGCCCATTTATGATGCATAGCGCAGAAAAAAGAAAAGAAATTGGTTCTTCCTTTCATCTACTTTTCCTGCCAGTGTTTATTTGCTAGCCCATATGTTCCTGCACAGGGTCACTCCTATTGTGAAATAAATGCTGAATAAATAAAATTGGTGTCAAATGAATGAACTGTCATTGCTAGAGCCCAACTTGGGATCAGAAGCTGAATCCTGACTTCCTCCTAACAGCTGGGTGACTTTGAAGAAATCATATGACCTTTATTTGTTGTCTTCCTTTTGGGGAAAGGAGGTTAGGGGAGTCACTATTGCCTTTACATTTATTTATTTGAAGAAGTAAGGCATTTTCATGTTTCTGAATTCAAAAAGTCCAAAAGGGCTTATAGAGAAAAGACTTCCCTACTGTGTCGCTGCTACCCAGCTCCTTGCCCTAGGGGAAACCAGTGTTATCTGTTGCTGGTTTGCCCTTCCAGAGACATTTTACGCACATGCAGTGAAAAGGGTAAATGCTCTTTTTAATCCTTTTTACATAGATGGTAGCATAATGTACACGTGGCTCTGTGTTTAGCCTTTCTTTCATTCAAGGTCGGCTCTTTCTTTCTTTTTTTTTTTTTTTTTTGAGACGGAGTCTCGCTCTGTCGCCCAGGCTGGAATGCAGTGGCGCGATCTCGGCTCACTGCAAGCTCCGCCTCCCGGATTCACGCCATTCTCCTGCCTCAGCCTCCGGAGTAGCTGGGACTACAGGCGCCCGCCACCAAGCCCGGCTGATTTTTTTGTATTTTTAGTAGAGACGGGGTTTCACCGTGTTAGCTAGGATGGTCTGGATCTCCTGACCTCGTGATCTGCCTGCCTCGGCCTCCCAAAGTGCTGGGATTACAGGCGTAAGCCACCACGATCGGCTCAAGGTCGGCTCTTTCTTAGAGCTGCATCACCTTCCAGTATATGGGACACCATAGTTTACATATGGCCAGTTCCCTGTTGGTGAGCACTTATTTCCAGCTCATTGTTGTTATAAAGAAGGCTGCAGTAAAAACCCATGTTACATAAGCCACTTGACGTGCCTTGAATAAAATTCTTGGAAATACATTTGTTGGTCAGAGGGTATGGCCTTTGTCACTTCGGTAGATCTTGTCACATTTCCTTCCACAGCAGTCAATTCAGACTGCTCTCCCTCCAGCCATGCGTTCAAGTGCCTGTCTCCCTCAACCCCACCACCCATCACCTTGCAAAGCCTAAGAGGGTTTTGTGAAGAACACAATGTTGTATAAAAATATTAATACTAACTATAGCTTTTTGCGCCCCTACTCAGGGCGAGGCCGTGATCTAGGTTATCTCATTTTCATCTTAACAACGTGCACATAAGCATTACAACCATTTGACAGACAAGGACACTGAAATTCAGAGCCTATGAGGAACATACGCAGGTCATCCAGCTAATAAGCTGTAGAGGCTGGATTTGAAGCCAAGTTAGTCAGATTTCAGTACCATGGTGTTTACCCATGGTGAAGCCCCATGTATTTTTTTTTTTTTTTTTGGTAGAGTTTTGCTCTTGTCACCCAGGCTGGAGTGCAATGGCACGACCTCGGCTCACTGCAACCTCCGCCTTCTGGGTTCAAGCAATTCTCCTGCCTCAGCCCCCTGAGTAGCTGGGATTACAGGCGCCCGCCACCATACCTGGCTAGTTTTGTATTTTTGGTAGAGACGGGGGTTTCGCCATGTTGGCCAGGCTGGTCTCGAACTCCTGAGCTCAGGTGATCCACCCGCCTTGGCCTCCCAAAATGCCCATGTAATTTTAAATGTTGATGTTCTGAGCCGACACCTGCTTATGGTTCCTGTCTCTCAGCAATGATGCCTCACACACAGCTGGCTCATTTACTCATTCAGAGAATATCTGTGGAATTCCTGCTTCACTAGGCCCTGTGCTAAGCCCTGGGGATGTACCTGAGAACATGACAGACAGTGCCTGCCCTTATGGGCCTCACAAACCTATAACAAATAATTCTGTAGTCATTTATTAAGGCAGATTATGACAAGACGACAAAGGAGGTGGGGAGGGTGCTCTCTGGGGTGGTGGAACCTAATCAGGGGTGAGGAGAAAGGAGGGTGTCTCTGAGCAAGTGAAGGTGGGCTATAAAGGGGGTGCAGGTTTGAACCTGGAGAGTTGGGTGGGAAATATTTCACATAGAGGCCACAGCACATGGAAGGGTCCTGAGGTGGGGCAGAGCAGGTGCTGGTGGAAGACATGAAGGCAGGCCAATGAGCAGACTTCAGAGTGGTGAGAAGTGAGCCTGTGAGGATGGAGTTTGTGAATTTATTCTAAGACTTGTGGGGAACAGTTGAAGGCATCGCAGCAAAGAGTGACATAAGCGTTGTGGGCTATGGACTGTTGGGTTCTAGTTCCAGCATCGTTTCTCATGAGATGTGTTACCTGAGACAAGTTAAACACTCTGTACCTCCATTTGCCTTTCTGTAAGCTGGGGCTGGTAATAGCACCTGCCTTCTGGTGGTTGTAAGATCAGACACAGGTGCTTCCAAACAGGTGCTTTCATGTAGTTTTGAGTGCCATATGAGGTATGAAATAAATGAGGCATTTTAACCCAGTAATCATGAATAAATTTATTTTCTCCAAATGTGATGCACTCCGATATTTTCTATTCCATTTCACTAAAAGTCAAGACCCTCTAAGTTCATTTTTAAAATGCTGAGATAATACATGTCAAGTGCCCGCCTCACAGTTGGCAGTCAGTAAATGGTGCTATCATGATCATCAAGGTTGTCATTAGAAAGACCATTCTGACTGCAATTAGAGAATGGATCAGTTGAGTTTGACCGATCATTATCTAAATCCTGGTGGTGTGGAAGGACATTGGGTCATTCCTGTGTTCATGGTCCAGGGAAGGATTTGCACGCTGGGCTTTCTGACTGCAGAAGCTTCCGAGGGTTGTGTGTAAAAGAGGCCATCTCTCTTGTTTCCGTGGTAACTAGTTTCTCCTTGTTTTCCAGGCAGGCACATCAGATGGCATGGCTGTTTTCTTTGACTTCTTTGTTACTTACACTCAGAATGGCTTTTTCCTGGAAGCCTCAGAGTTATTATAAGCCACCCACTTCTTTATTTTAAGTTGTTGGGCCATGATTCTACTTCCCTTTTCAGAGTCAAAGGTTGGAGCCCTAGTGGAATTCATTTGCATTTTCCACTAAGTGCAGCATCTTCCTCTACCCACTGCCCCAGCAGGCAGGGCTGTGCCCCATCTCCATGCCCTGGCGTGGCAGCTGTGAGGAGAAAGTGAGATGACACATTCTTTTTCTCCTAGAAACACATCTTGGAAGTTTTTGATGAAACTCATATAAGCTGAGTGTTAGCAAGGCCTGTGATACCTCCCAGTAACCCTGTAACTGCCACCGAATTTCCCGGACCCAGGGCCTGGGCTTTCCAGATAACTGAAGTTAACCCTTTCAGCACCAAAACTTTTAAGTTGCTTTTGAAGGGGATTTTTCTTAATGTAAATGGCATTGGTCCTTCCGAAAGAAATATGGACCAAAATTCTAGTTTCTCTAACTTGGAGACATTGGGCATAGAATATTTCTTTTAATTTTTAATTTTTGTGGGTACTTAGTGTGTATATTTATGGGGTACATGAGATATTTTGGTACAGGCATGCAATGCATAATAATCACATCAGGGTAAATGGGGTATCCATCACTTCAAGCATTTCTCCTTTCTTTGTGTTACAAACATTCCAATTATATTCTTAGTTATTTTAAAATATAGTTGACTGTAGTCACCCTATTGTGCTATCACGTACAAGATCTTGTTCATTTTACCTAACTATATTTTTTTACCCATTTAACATCCCCCCTTCCTCCCACCACAACTACCCCTTCCAAGTCTCTAGTAACCATCATTTTCCTGTCTCCGTGAGTTCAATCATTTTAATTTTTAGCTACCACAAATAAATGAGAACATGTGAAGTCTGTTGTTCTGTGGCTGGCTTATTTCACTTAACATAATGATATCCAGTTCCACCCATGTTGTTGCAAATGACAGGATCTCATTCTTTTTTATGGATGAAGAGTACTCCATTATGTACATGTACCACATTTTCTTCATCCATTCGTCTGTTGATGGACACTTAGATTGCATACAGATTTTGGCTATTTTGAATAGTGCTGCAATAAACATGGGAGTGCAGATATCTCCTTTGTATTCTGATTTCCTTTCTTTTGGGTATATACTCAGCAGTGAGATTGCTGAATCATATGGTAGCCCTATTTTTTGTTTTTTGAGGTACCTCCAAACTGTTCTCTATAGTGGTTGCACTAATTTACATTCCCACCAACAGTATATGAAGGTTCCCTTTTCTTCACATCCTCACCGGCATTTGCTATTGCCTGTCTTTTGCATAAAAGCCATTTTAATTAGGGGGAGATAATATCTCATTGTAGTTTTGATTTGCATTTCTCTGATGATCAATGATGTATTAGTCCATTTTCACACTGCTGTAAAGAACTACCTGAGACTGGGTAATTTATAAAGCAGAGTTTTAATTGACTCACAGTTCCGCATGGCTAGGGAGGCCTCAGGAAACTTACAATCATGGGGGAAGGCAAAGGGAAAGCATAGTGACAGGAGAGAGAGACAGAGAGCAAGGCTGGAACTGCCACACACTTTAAAACCATCAGATCTCATGAGAACTCACTCACTTTCATGAGAACAGCATGGAGGAAACTGCCTCCATGATCCAATCACCTCCTACCAGGTCCCTCTCCTGACACATGGGGATTATAATTCAACATGAGATTTGGGTGGGGACACAGAGCCAAACCACATCAAATGATGTTGCACATCTTTTCATATACCTGTTTGCCATTTGTAGGTCTTCTTTTGAGAAATGTCTATTCAGGTATTTTGGCCATTTTAAAATCAGATTATTATATTTCTTTCCTATAGAGTTGTTTGAGCTTCTTATATGTTCTGGTTGTTAATCCCTTGTCAGAAGGATAGTTTGCAAATATTTTCTCCCATTCTGTGGGTTGTCTCTTCACCTTGTTGATTGGTATCTTTTGCTGGGCAGAAGCTTTTTAGCTCAATGTGATCTCATTTGTCCATTTTTGCTTTGGTTTCCTGTGCTTGTGGGGTATTACTCAAGAAATCTTTGCCCAGTCCAATGTCCTGGAGAGTTTCCCTAATGCTTTCTTTTAGTAGTTTCATAGTATAAGGTCTTAGGTTTAAGTCTTTAACCTATTTTGGTTTGATTTTTATATATAAGATAGGGGTCTAGTTTCATTCTTCTGCATATGAATATCCAGTTTTCCCAGCACCATTTATTAAAGAGACTGTCCTTTCCTCAGTGTATGTTCTTGGCACCTTTGTCAAAAATTAGTTCACTCTAAATGTATGGATTTGTTTCTAGGTTCTCTATTCTGCTCCACTAATCTGTGTGTCTGTTTTTTATGCCAGTACTATGCTGTTTTGGTTACTACAGCTCTGTAGTATAATTTGAAGTCAGGTAATGTGATTCCTCCAGTTTTGTTCTTTTTGCTCTGGAGACTTTGGCAATTCTGGGTCTTTCATGGTTTCATATAAATTTTAGGATGTTTTTTCTATTTCTGTGAAGAATGTCATTAGTATTTTGATTGGAATTGCATTCAATCTGTAGACTGCTTTAGATAGTATGGACATTTTAACAATATCGATTCTTTCAATCAGTGAACATGGAATGTCTTTCCATTTTTGTGTGTGTGTCCTAGAAGAGGCAATTCGGACATAAAGAGAAACATCAAGGGCATGAGTGCACAGAGGAAAGACCATGTGACGGCATGGCTACAAGGCAGCCATCTGTAAACCAAGGAGAGAGACCCCAAAGGAAATCAACCCTGCTGACACCTTGATCGTGGACTTCTAGCCTCCAGAACTGTAAGAAAACAAATTTCTGTTGTGTAAGCCATGCAGCCTGCTGTATTTTGTAATAGCAGTTTGAACGGGCTAATACAGGGGTAGTACTAATGGAGGCAATAAAAGAAACCATAGGTAGCATTTATCAAGCACTTGCTGTGTTCAAGGAGTATTCTAAGCCCTACTTGAGTCATCTCATCCAATATCTTGCAAATCCTAAATCACCTGCTCAATGCCCCACAGGAAGTGGTGACACCAGCCTGACTCGGGTGCCTTTTCTCTCAGCCTCCACTGCACCTGTGTCTAGCACCTATACAGTTCCAGGAACCATGCAAAGTACTTCATAGACAATCTTTCTGGTCATCACAGCTCTCCAAGGTAACTCTTCCTATTCTCACTTTTCAGATGTAGAAACTGCAGCTCAGAGATGTCCAAGGTCACACTGTGAGTTTATTGGTTTCTTGTGGCTGCTATAACAAATGACCACAGCCTTCATGGCTTCAAACAACAGAAATTTATTCTTTCATGGTTCTGGAGGCCATAAGTGCAGAATTAAGGTGGGGCAGGGCTGTATTCCCTCTAGGGGGGAATCTGCTTCTTTTCTCTTTCAGCTCCTGGTGGCTGCATTACTCCAGTTCCTGCGTCTGTCTCCATATCACCTTCTTCTCTATGCGTGTCTGTGTCTTCTCCTCTTCTGTCTCTAGTAACTTCTGCATCCCCTTTATAAGGACACATGTGATTGCGTTTATGGCCCACCTGGATAATCTGGGACCAGCTTCTCTTCTCAAAATTCTTATCTGAATTGCATCTTTTGCCATATAAGATAATATTCACAGGTTTTGGTGACAAGTGTATGCATCTTTGTGGGGGGTGGGGAGATGTTTTTCTGCCTACCACAGTGAGTGAATGGCAAAGTGACCACTGATTTTAGGGTTTATCTGCCCCCAGAGCTCTGAGTGATACACATTTGTGGCTGTACATCCTTCAGAGCTATAAGCATTATACTTCTCAACATCTTTTCTGCAATGCTATTTCTAGGCTCTGGTGGGGGTGGGTATTGGAGTCATAACTAAGAATTTCTGGACCCTTTGATTCAGAAGTTCCATTGCTGAGAAGGCACCTTACAAACATGGTCATGTCATCCCGAAGACCCACAGATTCGCTCATTCTTTACAGTAACCACAAAAGGGGAAACTCCCTAAATATCTACCCATAGGGGACTGGTTAAATAAAATGTAATATCTCCTAAATGGAATAGTCAAGCTACCATTAAACATAATAAAGTAGATCAATATGTAGTGATATGGGAAGATGGCCATGACGTGTTATTAGAAGGAAAGAAAAACATTACTCATTCTTAGGATATTAATAAGAATGTGTGTGTACACATGTGTGCAGCTATTAACAATTAAATAAAATTAAAATTCAGTTCCTCAGTTGCACTAGCCACATTTCAAGTTCTCAATAGCCATATATGGCTAGTGGCTACCATATTGGACAGCACAAATACGGAACATTTCTGTCATCTTGAAGTTCTACAGGATAGAGCTGCTCTATGCTAAGTGGCTAGAAAGAGGCCTTTCACTATGTTTGTTATAGAGTTATGTGAATGCTTATGTTTGTTATAATAAATGACCAAGTATGCTATTATCAGAAAAATAGGGGCACATAGAGTTTCCAAGGTAACATTCTATTTCTTAAGTAGGTACTAGTTCATCATTATTTATTTATTAGTTATTTTTTTTAATAGAAACAGGGTTTTGCTTCGTTGCCTAGGGTGGAGTGCAGTGACATGATCACAGCTCACTGTAACCTTGAACTCCTGGGCCCAAGCGATCATCCTGCCTTAGCCTCCTCAGTAGCTAAGAATATGGGCAAACACTACCATGCCTGAATAATTTATTTTTATTTTTATTTTTTGTAGAGACAGGGTCTCACTACATTTCCCAGGCTGGTCTCAACCTCCTGGGCTCAAGCAGTCCGCCCGCCTCAGCCTCCCAAAGTGCTGGGATTATAGGCGTGGGCCACTATGCCTGGCCTATTATTATTATTTAAAATGTATGTTTGCGTGTGTATAAACTTTTAAAGTATGTTTCATAATGAAAATATTTTGAAATATATAGGAAAAAAGAAAAAAGGAATCTCCTGGCAGGCTCAACAGTGAGCCAGGCGTGAGTCTGGGACACTTCCGGCCGGGGCTGAAGCCCTGACCTGACAGCTTTCCAAGCTTGGCCAAGTCAGGCGCCTGCTCAGGCCTCAGTTTCCTAATTTGTGACAGACTGTCTGCTCCATCTGCCTTACAGGACTGAGGTAAGACTTAGAAGCACACCATGTGTAGAAAAACACTTTCAAACTGAGGAACTTGCTACACAGAGATGTAGGGTCAGTAAATAAGGTCATGAGTTATTAAAGGGCTAAGGAGGCAAGCCTGGGTGCACTGTGATGGGGATGGCGGCTCAGAGGACTTGTCTGCTCCTCAGTGGAGTATTTCCAGACGCTACTGCGTCACCAGAAGCAGAGGGAGCTGCTGTTGTATTCCCACTGCTATCATGGCTTGGCAATTTAGAAATAACTACGACAACATGATTTTATTTATTGAACGAGCTCTTATGTAGCACTTATTTGCCAGGTACAGTTCTAAGTGCTTGACAAATATTTATCCATTTAATCCTCCTCCAACCCTCAGGTAGTCACTCAGGGTCATTTCATGTGGGAGGAATTTGAGACTCAGAGAGGTCAAGTAACTTGATCAAGGTCACACAGCTCATAGGGAGTGGGTGTCTAAGGCAGCTGTTCTTTCTCCTTTCATCCTTTCTCACCACTCCTCTTGCCCCATCAAATATGGTCATAGAGTTCCTTATGCCAGCTTATTTATCTCAGGGGCATGAGATTGAACTTTTGATAGGAAATTTAGTTCCTAACTTAGTGGCTTCAATTCTAGTTTTCTGGCTGAGTTTGGTAGCATGGAAAAGTGGGAATGGGCTGGAGAATGAGGCACCAGTCAATGATCTGCCACACACTAGCTGTGTGACTTTGGGTAGGTTACCTAACTTCTCTGATGTTCAAGTTTTCTTTTCTTTTTTTTTTTTTTTTTTGAGATGGAGTCTTGCTCTGTTGCCCAGGCTGGAGTGCAGTGGCACGATCTTGGCTCACTGCAACCCCTGCCTCCTGGGTTCAAGCGATTCTCCTGTCTCAGCCTCCTGAGTAGCTAGGATTACAGGCACGCCAACACGCCCAGCTAATTTTTGTATTTTTAGTCGAGACAGGGTTTCACCGTGTTGGTCAGTCTGATTTCGAACTCCTGCCCTCGAGATCTACCCATCTTGGCCTCCCAAAGTGCTGGGACTACAGGCATGAGCCACTGTGCCCAGCTCAACTGGTATTTTGTGAGGGTTGAGTAAGTTTATGTATTGTGACAATGCTTGGCTTCATGTCAGCCAGGCAGCCGATGCCTTTTTTTTTTTTTTTTTTTTTTTTTTTTTTGAGAGAGAAGCCTTGCTTTGTTGCCCAGGCTGGAGTGCAGTGGTGCCATCTTGGCTCACTGCAACCTCCACCTCTCGGATTCAAGCGATTCTCCTGCCTCAGCCTCCTGAGCAGCTGAGACTACAGGCACGCACCACCATGCCCGGCTAATTTTTGTACTTTTAATAGAGACAGGGTTTTGCCATATTGACCAGGCTGATCTCGAACTCCTGACCTCAGGTGATCCGCCTGCCTTGGCCGGGATTACAGACGTGAGTGACTGTGCCTGGCCTAGCCAATGCCTTCTTAATTCTTTTCCTTCATCTTTTTCTTTCTTTTCTTTCTTTTTTTGTTTTTTTTTGAGACGAGTTTCGCTCTTGTTGCCCAGGCTATAGTGCAATGGCACGATCTCGGATCACCGCAACCTCTGCCTCTCAGGTTCAAGCGATTCTCCTGCCTCAGCCCCCCGAGTCGCCGGGATTAAAGGCATGCGCCCCCATGCCCGGCTCATTTTGTATTTTTAGTAGAGATGGGGTTTCTCCATGTTGGTCAGGCTGGTCTCGAACTCCTGACCTCAGGTGATCCACCCACCTCGGCCTCCCAAAGTGCTGGGATTCCAGGCTAAGCAGTGAGCTTAGTCTTGAGGATATAGAGGTGAATAAAGCCCGATGCCTGTCTTCAAGGAATTTGCAGAATGGCCTAGGTGGGAGCTGGGGAACATGCTCAAACAGGTGTCGGGGAATAGCTCTCACAGTCCTGGCTCTCTTCCTGCCTCGAGCACCTTGGATGTGTTTCTTTGCTTCTTTGCTATACCTTTGTCATCTGTCAATGGGACCTGGACTGGCCCCACTCCGAGGCCCCATCTGTTCTGTCATTTTCTGACTTGTCAGATATAGGTCAGGACAGGCCCGCGCCTGCCGGGCCAGCGCTGTAGCAGGTGAACCCAGGGTGTATCAGCGTTTCCCTTTAGGCCACTCTTGTCAATGCTCCCAACGGCCTCCTCCTTCCTCCCTGTGCTGCTCTGGGGAGGTCTCTTGGCTCTGCCCGGCAGTAGGAACAGTGGAGACAAAGACAGCTTCACATTCTCTTCAGCTGTCAGGATTGAGAGTGGCGGATTCGGGAGGAGAAAAATGAGTCAGTGGCAACTCGTTGTGTGTGACTGTGCAGTTTATCTGAGTCCGCGGGAGCCATAGTCGTAGGCTGAAAATGACCCTTATTTAAGAGAGGCTGAGTGCGTGGTTGTGGCTGCCCAGGCGCTTTGCTGGACTAGGCAGCCTGGGAACACTAACTGAGAAGTGGACGGGGACAGGAGCCAGCCTGCGGTCCTCAGTGTCTTACAGTTTCCTGGAGAAGTGGATGTTTCGGCAGGAAGATGGTGGGTAAACACCTGGAACGATCCATTCTGCTCACTTTTCTACTTCCCTGTACCAGTGCCATGGAATGAGAGGCAGCTCCATTAACTCGTTTAAGATCCTCATAAAGGGAGTTAATATCCTGTAATTACACAGGTGAATTGCATTTAGCAGGTCCATTTGAAGAATGGCAGCGAAATGGATCCTGTCTTAGTAGTGTGACCTTTACTGGGTGAGTTAAATCCCAAAGCTAGCCAATTTAAGGATATGGAAGGACCTTCTGTGGCTTTATTTCTTCATCACCTCATTTTTTGGTTTGTGTAGATCTTTCCACGTTGCAGTGGCATTTATGAAGCTGCTGAGGCCTTCTGAAACTTGACAGCCTGTTATGCTTCTTTTGTTAATAAAGTTTAACAAAACTGTTGAACTCATTCTGAGCAGGGGGTGAAGGGGCAAAGACTGTACAGGAAAACAGGACATAAGTCTGCTTTCCTTAAAAGAAAAAAGTTAAGAGACAGGACAAGCCATTTCTTTTCTGCCTCTTCGTATTACAAGTTCCTTGTTGCTATGCCTGTTGCCTGCAGATAGCTGCTAACACCTCCCGTGCCCTCTCGATGGCTTGCCTCCATGCCCATCTGAGTGGCTTAACTCACTCTTCTGACCACAACAGCATGTTTGATTTGGAGGTGAGACTTCGGTTCCTCCTTCTTCAAGTGCTAACCAGCTGGAGCTGCAAAAATCTTCTCCCCTGGCAACCTGAAGGTTGACTTAAGGCTAGAATATCTTTTTCTTGCATCATTAGTTTTTGGGACATAGCAGAGTTAGCTGGTGAGAGAGATGGCAGTGAAAACACTTCTGGGCTAAACCTACTAAACCGTCAAGTAAAAAGTGACTATGAGATTCGTGGTGTTTCCTTTTGTCCTTCACTCTGCTGAACTCTAATTCTCGCCTTTTAAGTCATTCATTTAGACTTTAGAGTCACTAAAGAATAAGAGACTGAAATTACAGGTCCAAAGGTGTAAAGGAAAGAAAGAAATTCATCTGAATGGAAATAGCCAGTCCTTGAGGCCCATGGCTCCGCCATTCTGCCAGCCATGTCACATGATCTCATTTCATCTCTCCAGTCCTGGAAAGTGGGCATTAGTAACAGCTGAGGACTTCAGACTCAGTGTGTTCAAAGTCACACAACTTGGGAGTGGCCAAGTTAAGACTCAAACCTGAAGCCACTGCCTTTAACCGCGAAGCCATGAAGTCTCCCAGCAACTGCTACAAGGGGACAGTGTCCTTGAACCCAACCCTGCAGGGCGAGTTGGGTTTAAATAAGCAGAGGGAAAAAGGAAGAGAATTCTGGGCAAGAGGAGTAGTTGGTACGAGCAAAAGTGTGGGGGAAGGACTGTGCATGACATAGAAGAGTGCCTGCTGGTTGCGAGCTCCACGGGGCAGGGCACCAGGGCCTCTGGAGCCATCTTATATCTCCCAGTGCCTGAGTGGCTATGCATAGTAGCTGCTCAATAAATATTTATTGCATGAGTGAATACTTGAAAAGACTGTTATCTTCTCCATAGGCTGAGTACCCTGAGAGCAGGGATTTGGTCTTAGAAATCTTTGGATGTTCTGCAACTCACAGTGGTTAATAAATAGCAAACACTCAGTGAGTGTGTCCTGATGAAATGAGTGAAGGAACAGCAGGTAAGGGAAGGTGAGATGTGCTTGAGTGAAGAGTCACTGATACTTTGAGAAAAACTGAGCAATATATGCAGACTGGCTTGGTAAGGGCATATCATGGATGGTCATCAATGCCAGGATGAGGAGCTCTTGTGTCCTCCTTGAGACATTTTTTAAAAATCCATCTCTTACTGCACAACATCGTGGGCCACAGGAACCCAGGCAGTGCTCAAACTGATGGCTGCATATTGGAACCAGAGTCTAGCACAGCTTAGAAATCATTTTTCTGCAGGACTGGCCTTAGGCTGGCCCCATTGTCACTGTCTTCCCACTTGAGGGTGACCACACTGTTACAACCGAAAAGAGCCCTGTGCAAACTTGTGAATGGGAACCTGCCAGGGAATAGATGCTATTGCTGGGTCCCGCAGTTGTTTTCGGGGTAGTTAGGCTGGAAAGTCCCAGCCAACTTCCTCTAAGAGGTGTTCTCAGGCCAGGAGTTCTCAATAAAAGCTTCCCTCTCTTTTCAGGTGTTGGCTACGTTTGTGGTTTTAAGAAAGCCTGAGGGCCTGAAGGCAGCCCCTGGAGAAGCCCTTTCCGAGGGCATTCGGAACCTTCTGGTCCTAGAGGTGAAGCTGAACTGTCACCAGGACTTATGACCCGCGGCTTCGCTCCCATTCTGCCCGTCGAGTTCCACAAGATGGGCTCCTTCCGCAGGCCTAGACCGCGCTTCATGAGCTCCCCCGTGCTCAGCGACCTTCCCCGATTCCAAGCAGCTCGGCAGGCTCTGCAGCTGAGCTCCAGCTCAGCCTGGAACAGGTGAAGGAGGCTGCAGGATGTGGGGTGGAGGGCTGCCAAGGGCCATGGCAGGGAGGGAGGCATCCGGGGGCTGACTGAGCTTCTGCTGATTCTGGGAAGGCCGTGATTATGGGGGTAAATAATGACGAGAGCAAATTTTCTTTTTTTCCTTTTTTAAGAGACAGGGTCTCACTCTGTCACCCAGGCTGGAGTGCAGTCGTGCAATTATAGTTCACTGCAGCCTCAAACTTCTGGGCTCGGGCGATCCTCCTGCCCCAGCCTCCCGAGTAGCTGGGACTACAGGCACATGCCACCACACCCAGCTAATTAAAAAAGCAATTTTTTTTTAAAGAGATGGGGTCTCACTATACTGCCCAGGCTGGCCTTGAACTCCTGGCCTCAAGGGATCACTCCCACCTCGGCCTTCCAAAGCGCTGGGATTATGGGTGTGAGCTACTGCACCTGGCCAAGAGAGCAAGTTTTTTTTAATATCCAGCGTGTCTGTTAGCTTTCTTTGTTTCAGTAGCCAGAAAATAGACCACTGAGGGCCTCTGGCCTGTTAGAGTCAGTTTACCAGACTGGGACAGTTGCACTGGAATTTACGGTCACTATTCATGCTCATTAGTCACACCTGAAACTGTCAGCCTATCCGAGAGTGGGCTTCTATAAGAAACCTTAAGTAACCTACTTCCCACTTGGGAAGATAAAACATGTCTGTGAAAAATTAAATGATTGGCATAAACCCAAGATTATGAAGACCTGTGAGCCACAGGTGCTTGGAAGAGGAGGCACAGAGTTTTGTTAGGTGTCTAGCCAACCTTTTGTGCACCAAGAATTGAGCAGACTGAATCAGCACTATGTCTTATATGCTTGTGGGCTACTGTTTTTCAAATCTTTGCAGACACTGTTTGGAGTAATTAAATGCATCATTATTTTGAAGCATGACTGAATTCTTTGTAGTTTGGATCGTTATGGATCTTTTCTCTTTTTTCTTTTCTTGAGACAATCTTGCTCTGTTACCCAGGCTGGAGTGCAGTGGTGCAATCTTGGCTAACTGCAATCTCTGCCTCCCAGGTTCAAGCGATTCTCCTGCCTCAGCCTCCTAAGTAGCTGGGTTTACAAGTGCGTGCCACCACACCTGACTGATTTTGTATTTTTAGTAGAGACGGGATTTCACCATGTTGGCCAGACTGGTCTCGAACTCCTGACCTCAAGTGATCCACCTGCCTCTGCCTCCCAAAGTGCTGGGATTACAGGCGTGAGCCACTGTGCCCAGCCCATTATGGATATTTTAAATGAATGGACACAGAAAGCAGGACTCTGATGATAGGGATGGAGAGAGGGGGCTCCAAAATGTTTTGGTGTTAAATGGATCCCTGTTCTTTAAAGGAAAGGCCAGGGGCCTTAATATAGACAAGATTGTAAGCAGCTCCTTTGCTGAAACACTGGGCTGTCGTCCCAGAGGCTGTGGAGTAAGCCCTGATATGGCCTCTCAAGGGACTAACTCTACTGCCGGTACACCTCACACGAGTGGACATGTGAGGAGCCTGTAAGGCTGGCCTGCGAGAAATTCTTCCAAGGAAAGTGCTGTTAAAAAGGAAAGGACTTACCGGTTCATGTTAGCTCAAGGCCACCAAGCTTCCCTGTGAAGACAGTGGCTGTGAAAGAACCGCAGGCATGGGTCAGCTTCTGCTTGCAGGAAATGCCATTTGGAATCTCCCAGGTCCATGCAGTTTCCTGCGATCAGATCCCACTGGCTGCCTTTGACTGTGGCTGCACCAGCAGGGCCGCCAGCGAGGTGAGGGAGGAAGACCTGCTGGCTTGCAAGAAAGCGGGGGCTGCTTTTGAGTCCTTTCGCCTTTGGTCTTCCTTTCTCTCCAAGGACACTGAGGAAATGGAGGATGGATGGAGAGTGTGGCCAGGTTTGTGCTATGAGCTTCCTGGTCACTCCACACACCTTCAGCCCTGAGCTGCTATTGAAATGGCCCAAGAAGGGAGATTCTCTAACCAGGGGTTATTCTCTTTTCCTGTAGCGTTCAGACTGCTGTGATCAACGTTTTCAAAGGGGGTGGCTTGCAAAGCAACGAGCTCTATGCCCTGAACGAAAACATCAGGTATGTGGCAGGCCAGACTTGGTGCCATTTTCCCCTATAAACCTGAGCAGGGGCATAGGGGCTACCGCCTTAGGAGCCTTAAGGGTTTTTTTTTTTTTTTTCCTGCTTGATTCTTATTGCTTCTTCTGTCAGCTATGCTGCTTTCATGGCTGTTGCGTTCTGAGACCTGTGTCTGTCTAGACTTCTGATCCATAGAGAATCATTTGTTCAGTATGTAGTGTGTTTTGTAGGGGAAGGGGTGGAGAGTTGATAGATGGCAGCTGTCATTTATTCTGTAAGCATTTATTGTGCCCTTCCTAACCATTAGGCACCATAATAGGCAATTCAGCTTAGTTGTTGGAACCAGACTGCTTGAGGTTTTATTGTGTTCTTCCTTTTACTAAGTGACTTACCAGCAAACATTTGAGTGCGTCTCTGTTGGCCAGGCACTGGAGAGACAGCAAGGACCAAAGACAGACATGGACCTTGCCCTCCTGGAATTTATATTCATTGGGAAGAGAATCATTAGTCAACTAGCCACACATGTGAAATGTAAACATGCAACTAAGACAGCTACTCCAACACAGCTGCTGTGATGAAAGCATATGTTAAAATGACTTGATTTTTGTCAAGGAGGCCAGGAATGGTGGATGTGATGCTGCTGCTGTGATCTGAAACATCCATGGAAATTACCTAGGTGAACAGGGCTCCAGTTGGTAGAAACTGCGCATGCAAAGTTCCTCTGGTTGCAATGAGCAAGGAACCAAAAGAAGGCCCATCCATGTGCATAGAGCACCAGAAGTTGAGTAGTTGTGCAGTTAGGTCTATGTTTTGGTGAAATGAGAGCAGCAAGTCAGGCAGGGCTCAGAGCACCAGGATCTTCTAGGGACAGGAGATCGATCCATCAGGTCTTTTTTTTTTTTTTTTTTTTTTAAACGGAGTCTTGCTCTGTTACCCAGGCTGGAGTGCAGTGGTACCATCTGGGCTCACTGCAACCTCTGCTTCCTGGGATCAAGCAATTCCCTGCCTCAGTCTCCTGAGCTGGGATCACAGGTGCCCACCACCATGCCTGGCTAATTTTAGTATTTTTAGTAGAGACGAGGTTTCATCATCTTGGTCAGGCTGGTCTTGAACTCCTGACCTCGTGATCCACCCACCTCAGCCTCCCAAAGTGCTGGGATTACAGGCGTGAGCCACTGTGCCTGGCCTCCATCAGGTCTTTTCATGTCCTGGTATTCATTCGTTTCTGGATATGTTAAGTGCAGAACTTCAAGGCTAAAGACCCAACCCTGGAGTGGGCAGAACAATAAACAAGTCCATTGTTCTGTTCCTGTTTACTGTTAGTTAAGGCCTGCATTAAGGTCATTGAGGTGTTTTAAGAGCTCTACTTTCATTAAAGTCTTTAGAATTGTATTAAATTTCCATCCATGTTCTTGAATTTCACATCTTACTTACATAAATATGGAAAAAGACAAAAGATATCTAGCCCAAGGCCTCATTTTACAAAGGAGGAAACTGAGGCCCCAAGAAGTTGAGTGACAGGGGCAAAGTGGGGTCAGCCAACACACACGTTGCGAAGTTTCATTTTTCTCCAAGAACTAAAATTCTGGCCTTTCCATGAGGTTCTTTAGTTCACAATAGAAGTATAAATAAATAAAACAGTGACTCAGGAATGTGCTAATTGTTTTTCACTTTGGGAGGCTGATCCTGAAATTGTACTTAAAAGCTCTGTTTGTGGACAGCTGGGAGAGGTACAGGTCAAGCCAGATTTCACCAGCCCAGGTAGCCCAGGAGCTGCTAACTCAAAAGACTTCAGGTACCAAGCAGGTCTTCTGAATGGGTGAAGCTGGCGTGGATGCCTGGCAGTGAGATCGTGCCCTCTGTCAAAAGAGGATTACCCTGGTAGAACACAGGCCCACTGATACATCTCTTATTTTTCAAGAAGAACTGGAAATTGAGATGTTTATGTAAATTTTCTGACTTTTAAATGTTGGTAAATAATCCAAATTTCCCCAAACATTGGTGCAGGCCAAACAAAACACATCTGTGGATTGAATATGGCCAAGAAGCTGCCCTTTTATAACACCAGCCATTGCATGCATTGGGGAGGCATTGCTGCTTCAGAGTGTTGAGTCCCAGAAAATGCTAGGTGCCTTTCTCCTCCATCAACACATTCAACCCTCCCCACAGCCCTTTGTTATGAGTAGTTGATAAATGAGAAAATCATGCATTAGAGAAATTAAATAAAAGTCACACAGCAATGAGCAGTGGCAAAAGGATTTGAACTCCTTTCTGACTTAGATACCTGTAGTAGTCTACCGGGGCTGCCATAACAAATACCATAGACTGGATGACTTAAACAACAAAAATTTATTTCTCAATGTCCTGGAGGCTGGGAAGTCCAAGATCAAGGTGCCGGTCATTTACATTCCTGGTGATGGCCCTCTTCCCGACTGGAAGATGTGTACTGTGTGTACACATGACCTCTTTTGTACTTGATGGGGAGAGAGAGCTCTCTGATGTCCCTTATAAGGACACTAATCATGTGGGCCCTACTCTTATGACCTCATCTAAACCCAAGTATCTCTCAAAGGCCCATCTCCAAATCCCATCAAATTGGGGGTTAAGGCTTTGACATATAAATTTTGGGGGGACTCATAGCAACACCTTTGTTCTTTGCACTATATTGTAGTGTCAGAAAGAGAGGTCTTATGTTGGGAGAAGGATTAAGTTGATGGTTCCTGATCTTTTTTTTTTTGCCATCGTTCCTTTCCCGAGGTCTCTGTGAGCCCATCTCTTATCACATCCTGTGACTAACACTCATCATGAGGAGCATGACACTCCCCCAGCCCTCCTTTCCAGTGTTGGGGTTAGGGCTGCTAGATGTTCCTCTGTGTCTTGACTGATTTTTCAGACTAGTGGGAAATACATATGGTTGAGGTTTGAAACTATGTGCCCAGATATAAATTGAGCCCAGAATAAGCCAAAGCTTAAAAAAAAAATCAGAGCTTTCCTTCCCCATGTTTCTGTACCTTACATTCTAGCCACACTATTTTAGAGAAGGCCAGAGGATGGAGATAGGCTTTCACATCAGAGACACAGAATATAACTGAAGATGTGAAGTATCTCCCAGGCATTGACGTGACCTGGATGTCTCAAGTTGAATGAAGCTAGCCCTCCCACATCAGCAAGTGCCTGTGTGGAGGTAAACACAGCTGCCTTTATTCCAGCATCTTAAACACTGAAATAGGCTGCTCTCTGGTTACATTCAAGTAGACACTTGGGTTTTGATTTTCCTTTTGGAAGACTTGTTTGCAGAACAGATCTATCAACTCAACATGGTTGAGGCAGGATTGGTGGAGAGGGTGGGGCACAGGATGGTAGGGATGTCAGAAAGAGATGTGCAAACAGAGAAGCCTCAGTTCTTCAGCCCATTTTTCAGTTGTGACAGTCCTGTTATATGCAAGAGGGTTTGTGCTAAGTTTAATGGAAATTTTTAACCAAAGAGAGCAGTTTCTGGATTCAGAGAGACCAGGGATCAAGACTGGGCTAGCTGTGTGACCTTGGGCAAGTGACTTCATTTTTCTAAGTCTGTTTTGTCTTTTATGAAATGAGGATAATAATAGCACTAACCTCATGGTCATTGGGAGGATTGAGATAATGCTAAAAGCATCCTTAGCACAGGGTCTGGTAATTTAATAAAGGTTTAATAAATATTAGCCATATGATTCTTATTACTGTGAACAGTTAAGAAATAGTAAAGTGATACATAATGGGTGAGTACGAGGCATGAGAACACAGGCCAACGTGATGAATTGCCCCATGAATAGTGCTGTGTATAACCCTCTCCAGGCCAGGTGTCATGCTCCCACCTGTAATCCCAGCTCTTTGGGAGGCTGAGGCAGGAGGATCGCTTGAGTCCAAGTGTTTGAGACCAGCTTTAATGAAACCCCAGTTTCTACAAAAAATACAAATAAAATGAAAAGCTGGGCGTGATGATGCATACTGCACTCCAGCCTGGGCAACAGAGCAAGATCCTGTCTCAGAAAAAACTTCTCCAGCAGTTTGGATGAGGTGAGCTCACTTTGAACTAGAGAGTCTGGGACAGAATCCTCAAAGAGTGGTGCCTGGAGTTGAAGTTTGGGTGAGGCTAAGTTCTTACAAGGAGAGCCAGCTGTTTCTCCTTTCCACAGAGAAAAGAACAAGAGGAAATGACTTTTTCAGTTCTCCATTCTACTGAACCCAAATGGTAATAAACTTTTTGATGGAGTATCCAAGTCTGGAGTCAAAGCCTAAATCAGATTCTTTGGGTCACTCATCCCAGCCACCCTGGCCACTTTCTATCTGTAGGGTTAGTATGTACCTGGGAAATACAAATTTATTTAAATAGTAGCCAATGCAAAGGATGACTAGGAAGGTAGATGTTTTATGTAACTGAGTCTTGTAATGCAGTCATTATTATAAGTGGCCTTTCCATTTAAGACATGTCTTTGAAAATAGACTCTAGTTTAAATGTTAGCAGATAGACTTTGAAGTAATTATGAGGAAGAACTTGGGACTGAGGATGGTCAAATTCTAAAACACAGTATTGGATCCAAAGACAGGTTTCTCCACCCTTTAAGAATAAATCTGTCAGGCCAGGTGCGGTGGCTCACCCCGTAGTCCCAGAACTTTGAGAGGCCAAGGCAGGTGGATCACCTGAGGTCAGGAGTTTGAGACCAGCCTGGCCAGCATGGCAAAACCCTGACTCTACTAAAAATACAAAAATTAGCCAGGTGTGGTGGTGTGCGCCTGTAATCCCAGCCAGCTATTTTTGGGAGGCTGAGGCAGGAGAATCGCTTGAACCTGGGAGACAGAGGTTGCAGTGAGCCAAGATCGTGCCACACTGCACTCCAGCCTGGGGGACAGAGAGAGAATTTGTCTCAAAAAAAAAAAAAATCCATCAGAAACGTCTCACCTCAATATAGCGGCCAATGTTGTCCCATGTAAAAGTCAGGGCACATGGTCTATTGATATGAAAACCATAAATCAGAATATTTCCCATTGAAACTGCCTTAGGCACAGCTTGCACATTGTAATATCTCTCAAGGCAAGAAAATGACCTTTCAGAATAGACGTATTCTAGCTAAATCCCCAGGCATCCCAATCAACAATTCTGGCTTCCCTAAATTTCCATCTGCCAGAGTTCGGGCTGATTCTGGGAGTCTTCTTGTTTTGAATTCTCAATGGGGTGTTAGTGCGGTTTTTAACACCCCTCTCCAGCCTCACCCCTGATGTGGCTGCATTTTGGCAGCGAGGAAAAGTCTGGGTTAGAGGTTTGGGTTTCATGAGCCCTTCCAAGAACAAGAGCAGCTAAGCTGACACAAGAGCACACTCTCCCTAAACAGTCTTTTCTGCCACCTCTCCCACTGATTTTATGTAACCGAGAAGAATTAGAAAAGTGTGAAAAAAGCAAGACTGATGTTTGCTGGTTCTTTGAAGAACCTGCTTGCCAATGTTCTTATAAGTGCTTTCAGTCTTTGAGTGTTGGGGTGTGTGTGTCGAAGCAGGGGCCATTGATTCATTGATTTATTTATTGAATAAATGTGGAGTGCTCTGCCCAGTACTGGGCTGTATACTGGGGTGGTCATTGAGTAGGTGGTTTGTGTCTTGGAGATCTTACAGCAGAATGAGAGAGGAACTGGGCAGGTAGTTCTCAGGCAACGCTTTTAGAGGGGTGATGGTGGAATCTGGAGTGCTGGGGGCATGTGGAGGATGGGCACACAATTAGACCTAGGAGAAAATGATATCCAAGTTGAAATCAGAAGTGGGAGCAGGCAGAAAGGGCAGTTGAGGATCTAACGTTCTTGCCACCACCACTCACTCCATGCCCTCCTGCCTCCTCAAACTCCCTGGGAGGACTTTTTCTCGGCAGAAATAAATGCTCAGAGATGAAGTTTCCGGAAACCAGAGATCAGTTATCTGCAGCCGGCCTGAGACAGGAAACGCACATTTTCCTTCTCTCTCCAACCACCCTGCTTCTGTTCTTGTTGGGAGGGGGGAGGTGGTGTGAAGAAAACCCCAGAGATTTTCAAGGAAAGAGGAGGTTCCAAGAATTGTGTTTGATCTCTGACAGGTCTGAGTTGAAATATCTTCCTTCTGAGTCAGTTGGTTGCCTGAAACCCAAAGGGAAATCCACCTCCGATTTTTCCATCTCTTTAACAGAGTGTTGACTGTAAGAGAGGGGGACCCACAGTAGGGGGGAAGAGCTGGGAGGGGACGGGAGGAAGGTGAGCCTGGATCCAGCTCACAGGCTGATGCCATAGACCAGTCCCAGGCCTGATGCCACGAGGTAATGATAACTGCAGACACTTGCTTAGCCTTTTAGTATATGCCAGGTTCCAAGTGCTTCATATGTGTCAACTCTTTTAAAACTCCCCACACCCTGTGAGATAGATACTGTATCCCTGTCTTACAAGGAGGAAGTACAGATACAGAGAGGTGGAATAACTCACCCAGAGTCATGTAGCCAGTAAGTGCCTGAGCTGGGATTTGAACCCAAGCCTCCCACATGCTTAAACCCTTAGTAAGTGGGCTGCAAGAGCCACACAGAGCTGGCATTATCCAGATTTGGGCTTGATGTACCTGGACATAGGTTCATGAATAGATCATGAGGTAAGGGGGGCATTGCCCTTCTGAGGAGCCTAGTTTTGGAGGGATTAAGATGAGGGCTCTTCTTGGTCTGGGTGACTCTGCCTGATGATGTGTTACTACCTTGTACCTGCTGTGGCTGAGAAACAGACTTGGCTTTCAGGTTAAGAAGGGTTGTTAGAAATGGCAGATTGGAAACCCATGGGGTTGGCGCATGTGGTTTGGCCTAAAAGTTGTTTAGAAATCTGGACATCTCACCTAGAACTCCAGGTTTCCGGCCTCTCTGGAAAGGTCAGATCTGGGCACTGGACTCACGGTCTGGTGTGGAGCCTGTCAGGGGAGCTGAGGCCTGGCTGCTGGCTTTAGAGGGACTTTCTTGGTCCTTACAGTACACACTCACTTGCCTCCCTTCTTTGCCTGCCTGCCCCTGTGGCATGGGGGGTACCACTGCCTGATTAGGTTGGCCTCCATTTGAGTTGGGATCTACCAATGTATGGCCCCTGGCAAAGCTCTGAGCATCGATCTTATCTGCAAAATGAGGATACACTCCTACCTGTGAGGCTGTTGGAGAATTTGAGATTCTGTGTGCAGACTGCCGAGCATAGTGTGCCACATAACTAGGAGCTCAATAAATGCTCTTCGTCAGTTTCCTCCATGTTTCTCACTATTCCCACTGCCACCCACTAGGATGCCGACACCCGAAGGGTGTGAGTACTCCATGTCCTGAGTCAAGGACACCACCTCCCATGGGCTCCCATGGAATGGACCAGAGAAGGGGAGGGGGCCTTTCTATCTGTTCCTGCTTAAGAGAAGCTGCCTCCTTGAAACATATCCTATTGCAGAAGTGAGGTGGGTGATTTCAGAGCATTCAGCAGTCAGGCTAGATGGGCACTGACCAGCTACAGCACTGGGCACAGGACTCTGGAGGACCCCTGCTGTTCCTGGATCTTGAGGCGGTCTGGGCGGATCTCACCAAAGGGCCAGGGTGCAGGGCCAGAGAACTTGGGGCAAACCCTACTTGCCAGATGGCGCAGAAATATTAACTACTGATATGGTTATTCCAACTCATCTTGGCTAACCTGCAGCACTTCTTGCAAGCTGCCTCATCGTCTTTAACCTCATGTGGGAAGAGAGTTGGGACAAGCAGCGGGATTTTGCCACCTTGGGTCTTTCTCTGTGTGCAAGGCAGACTGACTCCATCCGAGGTGATTTCCCTCTGTCACTTCCGCGCTTGCCCACTCTGCTGCCATCCTGCTGTCCCTGCGCCTCTCCACCAGCTTGATTCCAGCTTTTAGTAATGCCTCCTTTACCTTTAAGCCCACAGAAGTGGGAAGTTGAGTTGACAAGACGGTGAGGCGTGAGATCGCAGGTCTGTGTAATAACAGGAAATCCTGTCAACTGGGGTGGTGTCTCAGCTGGTCAGCCTGGGAGGGAGAAAGGGTGAGATAATGTAGACCAGTCAGTGCTTCCCCATTTTTTCCCCCTGTTATGGCTCCTTTTGGCTTCTGGCTGAACTTCACGCCCAGTTTCTCATTTTGGTCAGGCCCCGTGTAAGTGTCCCCTTCACATTACCCTCAGCTCCCGGCTTCCCTTTTTCTAGCTCAGTGGCTTGTGGTGGTGGTTGGTAGCAGCAGAATTCTGTTTTCAAATGAAACCAGGCATGGAAGTCCAATATGTGAAACAGATGGCATATGGGGGCTGCTGAGGCTGAGGGGTTGCTTTCATGTCAGTTACACGTCCCGGCAATTCTTTTCTCCAAAGCTCTGCCTCCACCTTCCTACCTTCTTATCCTTTCATCAGCTAGTCTGGCCCTACCTAACATATTACCTGCTTTATGAATTTCTCCTGGGTCCTCAATCCCAGTGTAGGAAATGCTAGTGTGGCTATACTTGTAGGAAGATGCGAGAAGCAGTGGGCTGGAGTTTTCAAGACCCAGGGCTTCAGAGTCCTGGGTGAAATCATAGTAGCTCATGCTTGCCAAGCCTTGCTGTGGGCCAGGCAGCGTTCTAGCAATTTGATGAGGATTAACCCATTTTACTTGTGCAGTAATCCTGTGAAGTAGGTATCCTTATCCTCCCCACATTCTAGGTGAGGAAACTGAAGTATGAAGAATCAGTGAATTTTCCCGGGTCATTGCTAACAACAGCTACTAAGTGGCTGCCAGGATGCAGAGCCAGGCAGCTCTGGGCTCCCTGATCTCAACAAGACACTTGTTATCTCTGGCCTGTGCTTGCTTGGGTCAGTTTCCTTGTATATTAAAATTGAGGATATTATTGCTGCTTACAGTTCTGTTTTAGGCTTAAATGTGGGAACGCCTACATTGTTGACAGTGGTGTCCAGCACCCAGCAAGTGCTCAATAAACTTTAATTGGAGAAAAAAATGCCGGGTTCCATCCTAGGAGCAATTTGTTTATTATTCGTTATGATGATGATGATTGTTTGTTCTAACAAGTAATTGCTTTTCTGTTGACAGGGCAGCAACCCTAGGATAGAGTGGGAAAAGCGGAAGGAAGGCTGCCAGATTCTAGGCCTGAGCCTCAAAGGAGCTTATGGCCTAGGTATTAGGAATCGGGATTTTCATCTTCCCTGCATCTAGGGAACCACAAACCACAGCCTCTTTAATTTGGCTGTCTCTCTCCAGCTTTTCTCTTCTTTCTTGTTCTTTACAAATTAAATTGGTAAAAGTAAGTCAGGCTACAGGGTGAATTGTCCCATTGTGATTTTGGCCTAGGTGTCTAATGCCTTGATATTTTTTACTGTCATCTTTTGGGTAAGATGAACCTCCTGTGCCCTATAAGAGAGTGGCCCAGATCACTCTCTCATAGGGCCCAGGAGAAATCATTGAGCTCTGTTTCATCCTTTTCTTCTAGCATCCAGAACCATGTCTAACACATAACATTATGTTTTCAGTAAATGGCTAAGATTCAAAGAATTAATGAATGGGGTCTCCACTCTGAGTTCCTCTTTTTTTGGTGGGGGGAAGGTAGCTTTTAAGTGAGGAAGCGTCTGCCAAGTTCCACTGGAGATGGTGTATCGGAACAGAGGTGTGGAAAATCCCCTTCTCTCAATTCAGCTGAGACAAGAATAGAGGTTTTTTTCAGAAGCATTCTTTCCTTATAAACCAATGCAAGCAGAATAAACAGAGTATATACATGGATTGTAGATTTGTAACATGACTCAGCCACAGTCTGCTCACAGGCTGGCCTAGCCAGCACTGCTGGGGACTCCTGGCCCCCTTTCCTCATCTCTTCACTCTCTATAGTCCTGAGAACAAGGGTTCTTGGGTTACCAGCTTGAGGCAGGTCTGGATTGGTGGATTCCCAGGACTTGTGGGATTCTCTGTTAGCTGGTACACACCCTGCTTCCTGATGTCATGACCTTGGTAGGGACTTACTCCTGCGATTCTTTCTCGGGCTTCTGGCCATGCTGCGGTAACCTTGGTGGTGGTTATTAACTTCAGAATCTTAAAAATTTGTTTCTGAATAGGATTGTTTTGACATGGTTCAAAAATTTTACGCATATAGCAAGGGTATACAGTAGAGTCTCCACCCCTGTATCCCAGAAACCAGTTTTCCATTCTCTTTTCCTTAAAGATAAGTATTAGTAACGGTAGCTTATTGGGTATTCTTCCAGAGTTTCTTTATGCATGTATAAGGAATACATATGGAAACACAGCTGATGATACTGTATACTTTATTTTATTTATTTCTATTTTTTATTTTATTTTATTTTATTTTATTATTATTATACTTTTAGTGTACGTGTGCACAATGTGCAGGTTAGTTACATATGTATACATGTGCCATGCTGGTGTGCTGCACCCATTAACTCGTCATTTAGCATTAGGTATATCTCCTAATGCTATCCCTCCCCCCTCCCCCCACCCCACAACAGTCCCCAGAGTGTGATGTTCCCCTTCCTGTGTCCATGTGTTCTCATTGTTCAATTCCCACCTATGAGTGAGAACATGCGGTGTTTGGTTTTTTGTCCTTGTGATAGTTTACTGAGAATGATGATTTCCACTTTTATCCATGTCCCTACAAAGGACATGAACTCATCATTTTTTTATGGCTGCATAGTATTCCATGGTGTATATGTGCCACATTTTCTTAATCCGGTCTATCATTGTTGGACATTTGGGTTGGTTCCAAGTCTTTCCTATTGTGAATAGTGCCACAGTAAACATACGTGTGCATGTGTCTTTATAGCAGCATGATTTATAGTCCTTTGGGTATATACCCAGTAATGGGATGGCTGGGTCAAATGGTATTTCTAGTTCTACATCCCTGAGGAATCGCCACACTGACTTCCACAATGGTTGAACTAGTTTACAGTCCCACCAACAGTGTAAAAGTGTTCCTATTTCTCCACATCCTCTCCAGCACCTGTTGTTTCCTGACTTTTTAATGATTGCCATTCTAACTGGTGTGAGATGGTATCTCACTGTGGTTTTGATTTGCATTTCTCTGATGGCCAGTGATGCTGAGCATTTTTTCATGTTTTTTGGCTGCATAAATGTCTTCTTTTGAGAAGTGTCTGTTCATGTCCTTCGCCCACTTTTTGATGGGGTTGTTTGTTTTTTTCTTGTAAATTTGTTTGAGTTCATTGTAGATTCTGGATATTAGCCCTTTGTCAGATGAGTAGGTTGTGAAAATTTTCTCCCATTTTGTAGGTTGCCTGTTCACTCTGATGGTAGTTTCTTTTGCTGTGCAGAAGCTGTTTAGTTTAATTAGATCCCATTTGTCAATTTTGGCTTTTGTTGCCATTGCTTTTGGTGTTCAGACATGAAGTCCTTGCCCATGCCTATGTCCTGAATGGTAATGCCTAGGTTTTCTTCTAGGGTTTTTATGGTTTTAGGTCTAACGTTTAAGTCTTTAATCCATCTTGAATTAATTTTTGTATAAGGTGTAAGGAAGGGATCCAGTTTCAGCTTTCTACATATGGCTAGCCAGTTTTCCCAGAACCATTTATTAAATAGGGAATCCTTTCCCCATTGCTTGTTTTTCTCAGGTTTGTCAAAGATCAGATAGTTGTAGATATGCAGCGTTATTTCTGTGGGCTCTGTTCTGTTCCATTGATCTATATCTCTGTTTTGGTAGCAGTACCATGCTGTTTTGGTTACTGTAGCCTTGTAGTATAGTTTGAAGTCAGGTAGTGTGATGCCTCCAGCTTTGTTCTTTTGGCTTAGGATTGCCTTGGTGATGCGGGCTCTTTTTTGGTTCCATATGAACTTTAAAGTAGATACTGGATACTTTCTACAGGGTCTGTGGACTAGACTGGGTTCTGGTGATGTGGTGTTTGTGGGACAGCATCTTCCTCAAACTTCAGGGAATCAAGCTGGCTAAAGTGTTGTGTTGCCTTACGTAATTTCCAGCAACAACTTCAAGCTTCTCCAAGGCTTTACATGTAGACATAGAGAAGAGGACACACAACCCAGTGCTTCTTTACATATGATTTTTAAAAATGCATCTGTGGGCCAGGCACAGTGGCTCATGCCTGTAATCCTAGCACTTTGGGAGGCCAAGGTGGGCAGATCACCTGAGGTCAGGAGTTTGAGGTCAGTCTGCCCAAAAGGGTGAAACCCTATCTCTACCAAAAATAGAAAAATTAGCCAGGAGCAGTGTTGCGCGCCTGCTCTCCCAGCTACTCAGGAGGCTGAGGCATAAGAATTGCTTGAGCCCGGGAGGCAGAGGTTGCAGTGAGCTGAGATCACACCACTGCACTCCAGCTTGGGCAACAGAGTGCAACTCTGTCTCAATAAAAAACAGTTAATTAATTAAAAAATAAATAAAATGCATATGTGTTCTCTGTGTTTAAAAATCAAGGAGCTATATATTTCAATTCTAAGGGCCTATGGGGAAACCCCTTCATATAGTAATACAGACTTGAACAGCAAGTTATAAGAGTGGAATTGACCAACAAATATGTTAGTGTTGTGTAAACTAAAATGTGTATTCTTATTTTTCTCTTCCCATTTTACAAGGTAGCCTGTTGTATGTACACACTGTTCTGTATCTTGCATTGTTTCTTTGCTTACTATGACTTAGATCTTTCATATTATTTAGAGCACTTCTTCACACCCTTTTTAAAATAGTTGCATAGAATTCCATTGCCTGGATGAACATAATCTTTTTATTAGCACTTTATTGGTGCATATTTATGTTGATTTCTATATTTTGCTGCAATGAAAAACTCTGCATATATATATATAACATGTGACCCTGTCTAACCATGTTATCATGCCCAGACAGAAGGCAGGATTTTGTAAGGGATAAGGGCAGTGTAGCTTACTGATTTGCCCAGGTAGAGCAATAGAATCTTGACTTAAATTATTAAGAAAGGTCTTTTCTGTTCAGATAATTCTATGAACAGTACCTAGTGGAGAAGGTTTTGCATTCTGGATTTTATAAAAGGACAAGTGTGTGGTTCTCCTACTGTACCTGGCTATGGCCCATTACATTTAAAGTATATAAAGCAGATTACCACATCGTGTCTGGTTCCTCCTCAGTAAAGAAATGGTTATCACTATCAGCATGGCGAAAGGCCCCTCTTCATGTTCTACTTCTTTATTCCTAACCATTACCATCTCATCCCCCCTGTTACAGCTGCTTCTAGCTTCAGAGTCCTTTCTGCTAAGTCTTTGTCTTGGAAGTTGCATTGTCTGCTCTTTAGCTTCTGCTCTGTTATTGGCTGATTTCTACCTAGACTTTTCTCTTCCTGGGACACTCTGCAGAATTCTGGCCTTGGCTGTGGCTTGCTGCACCCTAGCTGCAATGTAAGGCTGCTGTGCTTCCACCCTCCCTGTAGAGTGAAGCCCCTTCGTGCCCTCCCTGATAGGAGGGGAGGAGATGTCTTGGATTCCTCAACTGGGTAGCATCAGGATGCTTTTCTGCATCCCGCTGTGAGATGCCTGGGGCAACCTTTACTTGTTCAGTCATATCTAGCCCAAACTCACAATTATTACACCATCATAGATCCCTCCTCCGTGCTGCTCTCCAGGAGTGTGTCCATAGTTTTTTATTTTGAAGTCCCCCTTAACCCCGACCTTTTTCTTTTTCAATCTTACCCATGGCATCTTCATGAGCATAGTGTTTTCCCACTGTGGGTTCCTTGGGACACCAATTCCACAGCGTATTATTTGATCTCAGAAGCACATTAGTCCCTCAGCATCATGAGTACCCAAGATATCTCCTTGGGAAGCTCTCTCCTAAGTAGCCTATCAGTAGGACTTGTTTTTCCACTTGTGCGCAAAGCTTGGCTTCTTCACCTATGGTTTTGAGACTTCCCAAGGATGACGAAGACTTTGTTAGGAGGTGTTTCTCCCTCCTGTGGTCAGAAGCAATCTCCTTACCTCTTCCTGTTTCAAAGCCTCCGTCCACTTGGGGCTGCCCCATAGGTTGCTGTTTCCTGTCTGAGAGACATGTCTAGCCTCTGCCTCAAAGACTAGTGATGCCCAACCCGCTCTTAGTCCAGTGGCTTTTGATGAAGGCTTCCCTCTCGGATCAGACCTGCCCACATCTGAGAGAACTCCTGGGTTGTGTTGACAGGGTGGCCCTCCATGAGACTGCCTTTAAATTGGCCCTCAAAATGCAGCATCCACAACAGACAAATATTCTGTCATGGGAAAAGGAAGGTATTTTCTTTGTTCAACGTGTGTTTGTGGCTTTCCAGGGCTTTTTCTGCTACAGTAATTCAAATCATGGGTGGTTCTCTATTCTTTTGTCTTAATTTTATTGTGCCTGTTTTCTCTGCACATAACATCTTGCTGTAACCTCCTGTTTATCCTTCAGTGACATGAGTGAACGTGTTTTGGGGGAGTGAATACTCAGCAAGCGTCGTCAGAAACTTGAGCATTTGCTCCTTAATAGCCATAGCCAATGGGATGAGCAAAGAAAGTCATTTGAAATCATGAAGGGTTTACTCACTGGATCTGGGGAGCCAGTTATTCTTGCTTTTTGTTCCCTTACCTTGTCTGGATCAAAATAAAGAATAGTATGGATAGTTCCATTATTTGTCACAGGGAAAAGGAGAGCTGGTGTCAATATCCCTATTTTCCATTTGTATTTTATTAGCACTTAAGATTCGTTGAAATCATCTTGTGAGTATATTTATTAACGTGCTATCTATCCATCAGCCCCCAAGAAGAGAGCAGAGACCTTGTCTGTCTCATTCACCTTTGAACTCCTTGTGCTAGAACAACGTGTAACACATAAAGAGCTGCTCAATACATCTTCGTTGCTGGATAAATAAAATCTCTCTATTGTCCCTGCTGTGGTCCCCTTGGAAGACTGCCTCAGTCCATTGGGCATGGGTTGTAAGACCACCCAAACCATGGTACCAAGTTGAATTTTAAGTTAGGGTGAGGGGAGGGGGTTCTGGATTTGGAGGAGAGACAGGGTGGAGTTATGGGAAAAGATGTTGAATTTGCAGAAAGTCTGGGTTCACATCTTGGCTCTGCCACTGACTTATTTTGGGGAACTCTCTGAGGCATAATTTTAAAAATCTGTACAGGAAGAATAATAATTACTACTACCCGCGGTGGCTCACACCTGTAATCCCAGCACTTTGGGAGGCCGAGGCGGGCGGATCACGAGGTCAGGAGATCGAGACCATCCTGGCTAACATGGTGAAACTCTGTCTCTACTAAAAATACAAAAAATTAGCCGGGCATGGTGGCGGGCGCCTGTGGTCCCAGCTACTCGGGAGGCTGAGGCAGGAGAATTGCATGAACCCAGGAGGCGGAGCTTGCAGTGAGCCAAGATTGCGCCACTGCACTCCAGCCTGGGAGACAGAGCGAGACTCTGTCTCAAAAAAATAATAATAATAAATAATTACTCCTACCCCACCCCACATACATTTTATAATCCTTAGTTGAAGAATGTATGAAAAATGTGTTTTAAACTATAAAGTGCTCTGCAAATGTGGAGGAGTGCAAAATGATGATCTTTCTCTTCCTTCTTTTTGCTTCATATAAAGTCAGGTGCCCTGGCCTGCCCCTACCAGCTCTGCTAGAATTAGGATTTCCTTTGGCCAGCTGCCCTCTTCACAGTGCTACTTTCTCAGAGTGAACTGAGGAACGCATCTCCTTCTAGGCTTCCCATCACTGCAATTCCATGATAACAATGGGGGAAGGGGGACCAGGACCTAAGAAAGTGCCCTCAAGATCTCAGACCTGGCCCCACCCCGTGCCACTGGTGAGCACATTGTCACCATGAGCTGTACCATCAAGGGCTGCTTGACGGTGTTTCTCTTCTCCCTTCTCCCCAGGCGGCTGTTGAAGAGTGAACTTGGATCATTCATTACAGACTATTTTCAGGTAAGCTGTGTGGATCTGAGCATCCATCATTATCATGCATGTGGGGGCATGGACCTAAAAGGGGTGGCCAATACTGTACAGTTGGACATTCCTTCAACAGACAAAATTACGTATCTCAAGTCCCTGCTGTGTGCTGCACGTTGCAGAGGGGCACCACTCCTGTGTCTCCCAGCAGTTAATGGAGATCACAGTCTCATGCAGCAGTTCTCAGGCATTTTGGTCTCAGGACCCCTTTACACTCGTAAAACGTATTGCTTATTTGGGTTATGTCTATCTTTACCATAATAGAAATTAAACCTGAAGAGCTTTAAAATATGTCTTAATGTATTTAAGTAATAAGCCTATTACATACTAGTGCTAATTACATTTTTATGAAAAACAACTCAGAATAAAATAGAAAGGAGATCTCTGCATTGTCTGGCTTCATAGAAGACAGTTGGATTCTTATATCTGCTTCACTTTCAATTTGTAATGATATTGCATGCCACGTAGTTTTGGGAAAATTCCACTGTAAACTCGTGGAGAATGTAAGGGAAAAAAACAAATAGCTTAGTATTACCGAGAAAATAGTTTTGACCATGGGGATCCCTTGAAAGAGTTTGGGTAGTGGGGGTCCCCCAGGGGACCCTGAATCATACCACATCTGGATCCATTGTCTGGATCAGTCAGACTTCTCCCCTGTCTATACATTGTTGGTATAAAGCTAGTGAGTTTAAGGTTCCAGGACCAATCAGAGGATAGTTTCTAATTCACAGACGCAAGCTGTTTTCATGACTCTAACCAAAGGCATATGGTGGAGAGGGAATGGGGAGTGTTGAGTGACAAGGAGTCACTGACTGGACGGCACCTTAGTGAAGTCAGAATCCCTACTTCTCACTCATTTGCTGAGTGGGCAAGCTGTTTCACCTCCCTGTGCCTCAGTTTCCTCATCTGCGAAATGGGACTAAAAATACAACTTACCTTAAAAGTTTATTATATGCTTTATGTGAAATAACACATGTAAAGCACTCTGTACGTAGTGTGTAGGGGGGCAGTATAGGGTAGTGGTCAAGATCACAGCCTTTAGAGGCAGAGTGCTTGGGTTCAGTGCCCAGCATAGCCACTTACTAGCTATGTGACCTTGAGCAAGTTGCTTTACCTCTCTGTATTTCCTTTTCTGTGAAACAGCAGTAATAGGACCAAACCTTATAGGGTTGTCGTGAAGACTAAATAAGTTATTTATAAAAAGTGCTCAGTGACTAGCAGAGAGTAAGACAGTAATAAGTGCTTATTAAGTTTATATAAGTGCCTATGTGTTATTCTAAGGTGTAATCCATCTCTTTTAATGGGAAAGTAGCATGAAATGCCTAACATCTTGGTTTCAAGTTAGCAATGTTATTCTGTGTCCAAATAGAGCATACTTTTAAGACAGTTTAAAGAGATTTTAGGTTTTGAAAACAGTACAGGCATCCTTTTATAATTTTTCTTTATGAGATTCAGGAAGCTTAAACTTTTATGTGCACTTTAAAAGAATGACATGTCAGTTGTTTAAACACACACACACACACACACACACACACACACACACACACACACGGACAGCTCCTCTAAATCTGGACAAACCAAGACCCAACAGAAGCCTGGAATTCAATCGGGTCATATGTCTCAGCTGCTTGGAAGACAGCTCCTGTTCAGGGAGAGACAAACATAAAGATTAAGAGAGAGATAATTAGTCACAAATGTGAATCATTTCAGTCACCCTTGACTCAAAGGTCAGTCTTGGCCTCACTCTCTTCTCTTGCTGTCTCTACTGATTGATTTTTTTTAAAGCTAACTACAGAGAAGTGGTTTTTCAGTCAGTCCTGGAGAAACCTGCTGGGTTGAATTGCCTTCCTCCTTGACATTTAAAAGCTCCATGGTTTGGTGTGGTTTCAATCAGGTTTTAAATGTCATTTGTCTTTTGGTGCTGGGGGTTACCCCTAGGACAGATAGGAAAGGGTGTTTGGGTGGGGACTTGTTTATCTGGGAAGCCTTGAGGTTTTTGGGGGCGGTTAATACTGCTTACGAAGCATGCCAGATGCTTAACAACTAATAACCACTTGTCATTTCCTACCGGGAACATAATCAGAAATGCTGCTTTGTGAATACAGAATCTCTTGCTGGGGTGTGGGGCGAGAACTAGTTTTCACAGTTTTAAATCGAAGTTTATTTAAGGTGCTGATCTGGAAAGAAGGCTCTCCTAGATACAGTTTTGTTTTTTTCTTTTTTTAATAGATTTTAAGTGTCATGTGGGCACACAGCTTTTTTTTCTTTCTTTTTTAGTCTTTTGGTTCCCCACTCCCTACAAAGTTCCTGGAACAAAGTAGATACTCAGTAAACCTTCCTGGGAGAGAGGGAGGGATTTTCTGCCACAGATCACTGAAATGATTTTAGGCGATGCGTGCAATGACATTAAATAACATTAGGGCTTGTGGTTAGAAACTGCTCTCCTCTTTTATTTTCCTTTCGCCCTTGGGATTGTGCTAGAGAGGATCTTGAGTTGTACCATGGTGTCCTCTCCCCTCCTCCAGGACTTGGAAATCTCCCTCGTTTGAAGAAGGAGGAGCAGTCCTCGAACTTAGTGTCTTCAGCTAGGGATGCTGACTAGTTAGGATTTCTTAACATTATTTTGTTGGCATTGAGTTGATCATTGAGTTCCATTCCACTTAGTGTAAATTATGTTGCTGTGGTTTCTGTTTTAAACGTATTTACTTGTTTAAAAAGTGGATTGATATAAGAAAAATAGTATGCAAAGAATAATCATGTAGGTGGCCCTGGCTCTGGCCCTAGTCATGCAGGTGGTTCAACAGAGACTCAGATTTGGAAAGCCCATTACCAGGCACTGCTTAAAAATGGGCTGGTTTCAAACCATTCACTTTACAGAAGAAATCTCCATATAAGGAGACACGTCCCAGAGGGAAGGCTTGTAGAGGCGAGCTTAGCCTTCACATTTGACTGTCAGATGTCGTTTCAGGAGGGAAAGTCAGGAGGAACTCCAGAAAGTGTGTTCCTCCAGTAAAGGGGCAGAAGGAAGGCCTGGAGACAGATGAGGAATGGAACCCAGGGGTGGACAGGAAAGTCACCAAAACCATGGACCTGGCTGTTGGGAAAGGTGAAAGATGGGCTTCCTGGGTGCTGGGCTCTGCATTGCAGAGGCTCAGATGGCCATGCCTAGACATCTGCATTCAGCAGTCAAGTCTGTCTCCTCACCCTGACCCCCAACTCTGAGCTTGCCACTCATACAGCCCTTTCTGTGGCTCTGCTTTTGAAAGCGAACATTCTCATTTACATTCTGTGAGTCTTAACACAGAATGTCCTGAGTGGGGAATAATGAAAATGACCCCAGGTGAGGCCAAGAGAAAGCAGGTAGGAAAATTGTGCTTATCTCATGCCTGCACACAGAGAAGACAAGCTGTGTGATCTGCAGAAGCCCAGCTACACGTCCATAAGGCACTGGCTGGAAAAGTCTCTGACATTTCCAGTATTGATTTTTTTCCCTTTCCCTCTGTTTTGAATTGTGTCCGGAAGGAAAATTGGGGTTTCCGAGAGAAACACTATATACTAGTAACAGCTCTGAGGGATAATTGGTTTCTTGTAATTTTTGAAACTGATGATATGAAACGTTCTGGATTTTCCTATTTACCTCATTAGGTATCTTGGTGGTTCAGAGCATGGGTGTGTTTGCAGATTGCACTTTCTGCTATTCTGTATCTACTGGCTTTGTTTTGTGTGTTATAAGCTTTTGCCCCAAGCCCAGAAAGTTCAATTCCTTTTGTTGGAACTGGAGTTTTGCTTGATATAGAAACTCAGGCTAGAGTCAGTGGCTTTGAATGGGTTAATACTAGGAAGAGAGGAAACTTAGCTACTACCGTTGTCAATAGGTCATGGATACCTGGTAATGTGTGAGATACATTTGTGTGCATGTATGTGTACGTGTGTGTGCATGTATGCATATATATGTATTTTTCCATTTGCTGCTCATATCTGCAAGAGTCCCAGGAGGCCAGTTTCCCCTAGAGTTTACAGCATATGGCAGAGAGCTGAAGGAGTGTAGCGTTAACTGAAGACCCGGATGGATGGCAAAGAGTTTAAATCAGGCCCAGAAAAGGCAATTATACTTTGTTGGGACAAAGGTAGGACTTCTAAGGATTCACGGCAAGCTGGATGGAGAGAAGATCAAGAGTGGTGAAGGTAACTTTTGTGATTTCTAAATCCAAATTGAGGAGGAGAGAGAAGTTTCAGCTGTTCTTTGATCAGCTGGACAGGCTCCTCTAACAAGCAGGACTCCCAAAATGGAAAAAGAGCTAATTGGGTG